>NC_000022.11:29467139-29618654 GCF_000001405.40 Homo sapiens
TTTTGGGGGTTCCTGATCCCTTGTACAGGTCTGCAGTAGTCGAATCCCTATACTGCTCGTTGAGAACCCTGTATCCTATGCCACTCAACCCTGTCCTGAGGACACAACTGATGCAAATGCACTTCATAAAAGCCCAAAGCACGGCACACACTTCAGTTAACTCACCTGGAACCACAAGGATGCGCTGAGCCATAGTCCCCGGCACACACTGCAGGACTCCTAACACCATTCCTCTGCCTCCCTATTCTCAGCGGCCGCTGCCCCTCCCCAGGAGCTGCTGCCAGCTAGGGACATGCTAGAATGCCCATTAATGCCACTTTAGGCCAGAAGCTGGTGTTGGCAACCTCAGAGGTGGGGGCTGCCTGAGTCCTAACTCTGGATCCTCCACTGACTCAGCAGGATCCTGCCTCTCCTCCCCTAAAATCATCTTAGGGCATAGAGGATGGGTGGGGTCCAAGGCTTAGGAACTCCCCCAGTGCCCAGACTGGTGCTGCCCAGACTGGTGCTGCAGACACAACTAGTAACAGTTGTGTTTACTGAGAATTTTCTAGGCCAAAAAAATGGTGTTAGATTTTTCCCCCCATGTTTACTCACCAATTCCCAGATGAAGCTGGTACCATTAGCATCCTTTTGTTTTGTTTGTTTTTGTTTTGAGAGGGAGTCTTGCTCTGTTGCCCAGGCTGGAGTGCAGTGGAGCAATCTCGGCTCACTGCAACCTCTGCCTCCCGGGTTCAAGCGATTCTCCTGCCTCAGCCTCCCTAGTAGTTGGGACTACAGGTGCCTGCCAACACACCTGGCTAATTTTTGTATTTTTAGTAGACATGGGGTTTTACCATGTTGGCCAGGCTGGTCTTTAACTCCTGACCTCAGGTGATCTGCCTGCCTCGGCCTCCCAAAGTGCTGGGATTAGCCACCGTGCCCAGCCAGCATTCCATCTTATACGGGGGAAACTGAGATACAGAAAGGAAAGGTCACTTGCCTGAGATGCCTTACCGAGAAGTGGAAGTGTTGGCGTTCAGCTGTGGGTCCGTCTGACCTTGGAGGTGACTTCTGAACTATTAGGGGACTAAGCCTCCCCAAGCAGTTACTGCTGATTGCTCAAAGGCAGCTGCTCCCCTTCACACAGAGGGTCTATCCTTGGAAACTTGTGCCAGGGACATTCTGAGTAAGGTAGCAGATTTACGTTCATTAGACTTTCTCAGAGGATGCAGTTTGCTGAACCTCAGGTTGTCTCTTCATCTGCAGTCATAAAATATTCAAGCCAGAAGGCACTCTGGTGATTGGAAATGCTAATCTCTGTAATTTTTTTTTCTTTTTTTTTGAGACAGGGTCTCACTCTGTTGCCAAGGCTGTGGCGTGATCATGGATCACTGCAGTCTCAACCTCCTGGGCTCAGGTGATCCTTCTGCCTCCACCTCCCGGATAGCTAGATAGCTGGAACCACAGGTACATGTCACCATGCCTAGCCAGTTTTTTGTATTTTTCGTAGAGACAGGGTTTTGCCATGTTGCCCAGGCTGGTCTCAAACTCCTGGGATCAAGTGATCCTCCCACCTCAGCCACCCAAAGTGTTAGGATTACAGGTGTGAGTCACCGTGCCCAGCCCATTTTCTTTTTAGAGACGGGGCCTCGCTCTGTTGCCCAGGATAGAGCGCAGTGGCATGATTATAGCTCACTGCAGCCTCAAACTCCTGGGCTCAAGTGAGTATCCCACCTCAGCTCTCCAAGTAGCTGGGACTTCAAGCATGAGCCACTGCACCTGGCTAATTTGAACTTTTTAATTTTTTTTTATTGTAGAGACAGGGTCTTGTTTTGTTGCCCAGGCTGGACTCAAACTCCTGGCTTCAAGCAATCCTCCTTCCTCCTCAGCCTCCCAAAGTTCTGGGATTACAGACATGAGCCAACATGCCTGGTCTAGTCTTACCTTTTACTAATGCGGAAACTGAAGCCCAGAGATGCAGAGATGTGCCTAAATTACAGTTAATTAGGAACAAATGTAATCCTCAAATCCAGATCTCCAACATTCATGTCAAAACTCCCTAAAATCAAACAACATCGGCTGGGGAAAGAACATTCAAAGTCTCCCAGTCCAAGCCTCTCATTTCACAGTAGGAGAAAGCTTGACTCAGAGAAGAGTGGAATATGCCTAAGAGTGACATGCAGGCAGGCAGAATGCACCATCAATGAATCGAAAAGTTAGTTTTTTACTATATGTGCCCTAAGGCATATAAAGTGACTTCTCCGAGCTTCACCTTTGAAATGGAAATAAAATTTACAGTATAGGGTTCACTGTCAGGAGGATAAATGATTCATGAAATGCCCTTGGGCCAGCACCCAGCACTTAGTGGGTGCTCAATGCATGGTATCTATTATTAATACTGCTAGAACCTTGTCATTTCCCCCTCTGCCATTCTGCCTTCCAGGTCAAACCTTTCTCAGTACAGTATAGTAGGTAAGACTGGGGACTACTGCTTCAGCTACTTGTCAGCAGGGTGACTTTGGACTGGTTACTACCCAGCAACTCTGGGCCTCAAATGTCTCATCAGTAAACTGGGGACAGAATAGCAGTACCCACCAGACAAGGCTGTGGGAGGGGGAAATAATGCATGTGACTGGCCTTCACACAAAGCCAAGCACATAGTCAGTGCTCAATAAATGCGGGCTACTACTGTTACCAATTACTTCCACAGCCATGTCTCATGTCTGTCACCATCCCAGACTGCAGGGAGTCTGGTCCACCAGCAAGTGGCCGGTCCCCAACCTCCAGGGCTCTCCAGTCTCAAGAGTGCTGACGCAGCAAGGGAAGGAGCTCCCAGTACATCCACACCGGCTCTCCTGACTCAGCTCTGATTTCTCAGGTGCCTGTGTAGGGTCGACAATTCTGAGCATGCTGGACGAAATCCCGATTTTTGCATTCATGTAAGAGTCTTGGAAGAGCCCCCTTTTCACACGTGCAGAAACTGAGGTCTGGGGAGGAGGAAGAGGCTGCTGCCCACGGACACACAGGTGCCAGGACCAATGTCTGGGGAGGAGGAGAAGGGCGCTGTTCACGGAAACACAGGCGCCAGGGCTTGATGCACCGGTGTCCTCGCTTGTGGCTGGGTCCTTCTGGGACGATCCCCTTTCCCAGGATCCCGCCCCTAGGAAGAGCACCGGCCATGCCCCTACCTGAGCCCCACCCCCTGAGTTCTTTGAGCACCGCTGCCCCCAGGCCGTTACGATGAGGGAAGCCACGACAGCCAAGGCTACGGCTACCTTCCTGCAGCCCCTGGGGATGCCACTGATGCGACGCCGCGGCGGCCAAGGCGGGGCTGAAGGCGGCGCGCCCGGCTTCCCTGAGCCAGTTTGGAGGAGCGCTCTTCAATCTTCCGAGGCCGGATGAAGCATTCGGGCGTTCCCACTGCGGAAGGGCGGGGATGGCTGTGACGCAGGCGTGCCCGCCGTCGCCTGCAGGGGGCGCTGTTGCTGGCGCGATTCTATCAAGCGCAGAGCCAGCCGAGGCAGTATGCCGAGGCAGAGAAACCGGTTCTGCAGTCCCAGGGCCTCGGTTTCCCCCTCTGGAGAGTGTTCGTTTGTGACAGGGTCTCGCTCTGTTGCCGAGGCTGGAGTGCCGTGGCGTGATCTCGGCTCACTGCAACCTCCGCCTCTCCAGGTTTAAGCGATCCTCCCACCTCAGCCTCCCGAGGAGCTGGGACCACAGGCGCGCCACCACACCCAGCTATTTTTATTTTATTTTATTTTTTGTAGAAATGAGGTTTTTCTGTGTTGCCTGGGCTGGTCTCGAGCTCTTGGGCTCAAGCGATCCTCTCGCTTGGCCGCCCAAAGTGCTGGGATTAGAGGTGTGAGCCACTGCACCGCCGAAAGTGGGTTTGATGACAATGTTGTGAGGCTACAGTGGAACCCAGATAAATTTATGAAAGGAACCAGAAGACACTGATAAATAACCAAATTACTTAACCTCCCTACACCTGTTTGTTGATCTGTAAATGGGGATAATTGCACCTCCCTTCCCTGTGGATATGCAAACGTGGAAAAACACATAAAGGGGCTGGCACCTTATAAGCACCTAGTAAAAGGCAATGACTGTGATCACAGGCAAAGCACCCTGCCAAGCCAGAAAACAACATCCAAGTCCTGGTTCCTGTCCTCACGGAGCTCCAGTCGCAGAACCAGAGGCGAGGCAGTGAGAACCAGGCCTGCCCTCGGTTTCCTCATCTGTACCACTGATGGTCTCTAAGGCTCTCTGAGCCCAGCTTTCTTCAATGCTGGCTTGTGAAATGCAGCCCAAGATGGATTACAGTGACATGAATAACATGGAGTAGCATCTATGGGAAGTCACCGCTGAATCGCATTTATTCATTCAACAAGCTTTACTAATACTCTGGTACCAGGCCCTAGGAATACAACATTAAATAAGAGATGGCTCTTGCCCTTACAAAGCTCCCAACAGTCCAGTCAGGAGAGAAATAAATAGCCCTTCAAATACCGTGTTGGGATTAGAACGAGCAACTGTGGGAGCCTAAAGAAAGCAGTTATCACAACCTTGGGGTTAGCAAAGCTCCTGAGGGAGCAGGTAACCTGGAACGTCTCAAGGATTAAGAGGAGTGAGCTGAAGAGTCGGAGAGTGAATACTGGGGCAGAGAAAGGATTTCAGACAGAAAGCCAGGGTGCAAGAGAATGTGGCAGAATGAATAATTTCATGGCGGTGGACCCAGAGAGTAGAAGAGGTTCAGGTAGGGAAGGACACAACTGCCCCCTCTGCCCAGCCCCTGCCCCCTCCTAAGCTGCCACCAGGGAACATTCTGTGTCCTTCTGCCTGGGCCTCAAATGTCCCCCCATTTGTTCACCCACTGTACACACCCTGAGCCCCCCAGGTGCAAGAGCCACTCTCTGTCCCCTCAGCTCATGGTCTAGGAGGAGTCAGAAGGCATGGGCACCAGGGACTCCAGTATATGTCATCCCCTGGATCCCAGGACATGTACTTAGATATGGGCAGGGCACACGGCTCCACAGAGAAAGGACATGGAGGATGAGGGAGAAAGGAATTCCCAGGAGAGGGCCAGTCCTGAGGTGGGACGGGGTGGCATTCTAGAGCCAGACTGCAAAGTTTTGAATCCTGGTTCTGTGCTTGGCAAATGATTTCACCTCTTCAGGCCTGTTTACTCACCAAAGCTTCTTAGAGTTGTGGAGCCTAGGGCCGGGCGTGGTAGCTCACGCCTGTAATCCCAACACTTTGGGAGGCTGAGGCGGGTGGATCACGAGGTCAGGAGATCGAGACATTCCTGGTTAACACGGTGAAACCCCATCTCTACTAAAAATACAAAAAAAAAAAAAATTAGCTGGGCATGGTGGCACGTGCCTGTAGTTCTAGCTACTCGGAAGGCTGAGGCAGGAGAATCTCTTGAACCCGGGAGGCAGAGGTTGCAGTGAGCCGAGATCGCGCCACTGCACTCCAGCAAGACTCCATCTCAAAATACTAGATAGATAGATAGATACACAGATAGATAGATAGATAGATAGATAGATAGATAGATAGATAGATAGATAGATAAAGAGTTGTGGAGCTTAAATGAGATCATGTTTGTAAAAGTCTATGTGAAAGACTCTGTGGGAGCTCGAACGATGAGCCTGGAAGGTTGGCTGAGGCCAGATCCAGAGTCAGTTCTCCTGCTCTAGGGACACTGGCTCAGAATGCACATCCCCAGGCTCCATCAGAGATTCTGACTTGGATGATCTGGACGAGCCCAGGAATTTGCAATGAAATTCTGTGGTGACCACCACACAAGCAAAACGTTTAATAAAAAGTATATTTTCTCCACTAACTCCCCCTAACAGACAGCAAAGACCTCAAGCCCTGCTTCCTCTTTCCTCTGCCACTTAACCTCCCCAAATGCCAGAAGGTAGTTCAGGCGCCCAGCAGAGCTGTCCCTGCTGTGTGTGGCCAGGTCCCTGGTTCAGGTTCACTCTGGGCTCCTGCAGTTTTCCATGCACACGGAGTGCCTCGCTCGGGGCTGAGGCAGAGGTTTCAGAAACTTTCTTGGCATGTCTCTCTCATGCTGGCATCTGCTGTCTTTGGCAGTGCCAGGCTGCACCCGAGTCCTCCATGTCCCCACACAGCTGCAGAGAGACAAGCCAGGGTGCAGCTGCCCCTGGGCAGGGGAAGCTTCATGTCCACCAAGCCTGGGGCCATGCCCACTTGCAGGGGCTTTTCTTCTTTTCTTTTTTTTTTTTTTTAAGAGACAGGGTCTCACTCTGTCACCTAGACTGGAGTGCAGTGGCACAATTATAGCTCACAGAAGCCTTGAACTCCTGGGCTCAATGATCCTCCCAGCTCAGCCTCCCAGGTAGCTGGATCTACAGATGCACACAACCACACCCAGCTAATTTTTAAATTGTTTTGTAGAAACAGGGTCTCACTTTGTTGCCCACACTGGTCTCAAACTCCTAGGCTCAAGCGATCCTCCCACCCTGGCCTCCCAATGTGCTGGGATTATAGGCGTGAGCCACCGTGCCCAGCCTGGGGGGCCTCTTTTAGGGCTCAGTAATGCCAACATTGGCCATCAGGAATGAACTTTTATCCAACTGTTAATTCTCCCTCAAGTCCCAACATCCCGTTTTTTTTTGTTTTGTTTTTCAAGACAGAGTCTTGCTCTGTCACCCAGGCTGGAGTGCAATGGCGTGATCTCGGCTCACTGCAACCTCCGCCTCCTGGGTTCAAGTGATTCTCCTGCCTCAGCCTCCTGAGTAGCTGGGATTACAGGCACGCACCACCACACCCGGCTAATTTTTGTATTTTTAGTAGAGACAGGGTTTCACTATGTTGGCCAGGCATCTTGAACTCCTGACCTCAGGTGATCCGCATGCCTTGGCCTCCCAAAGTGCTGGAATTACAGGTGTGAGCCACTGCACTCGGCCCCCAACATTCCAATTTAAACTCTGGCATGAATCTTTCTCTCAAATGTACTATGGGCTCCCTCCTTCTCCCCCAGAATAAAGAGATGAAACAGCACTGAAACCTTTTCTTATTTTTTTCCTGAGAGTCAGTATGGATAGTGGGAGGTGCAAGGGTCCTGGACAAAGCCTAGATGTGAGCCACAGCCCCTCCACCACCTCACTCTGTGGCCTTGGCAGGTCACTTTCTCAGTGTCGATGTTCTACTCTGTAGAGGACAGTGACCTTGCACAGCTGACAGAGTTGTTGCAGACACCACGTATGTACGTGGAGCACAGCAGGCAGGTGCCCACCACGTAAAGGATGACAAAGCTGTTTTCTCCATTACTCAAGATTTAAACTGTGAGCCCAGGTGCAGTGGCTCACGTTAGTAATCCCAGCACTTTGGGAGGTCGAGGCGAGTGGATCACTTGAGGCCAGGAGTTCAAGACCAGACCAGGCTGGCCAACATGGCGAAACCCCACCTCTACTAAAAGTGCAAAAATTAGCCAGGCATGTGGTACATACCTGTAATTCCAGCTACTCGGGAGGCTGAGGCACAAGAATCACTTGAACCTGGGAGGCAGAGGTTGCAGTGAGCTGAGATTGTGCCACTGCACTCCAGCCTGGGCGACAGAGCAAGACTTTGAAAAAAAAAAAAAAGATGTACACTGTGAACATCAATCACTGTCCAATGACTTCTTTCTACTTATCTATCTCTTCAGTCAGGATCATCCAGAAAGCTGAGCTAGTCATCATTTTAACTTCCTGACTATACTGCTTGGGAAGCCTCCTTCCCTCAAGACAACCAGAGAGAGTATAAAAACCTGGGGGAAAAGAAACAAATTTTGATTGAGCCAATTTTCAATCCCCCTTGCTTCCACCAAGGCACCAGAAGGAAGCCCTAGAGCAAAGACCCTGGCCAGCTGTGATGGAATCAGGAAAGTGCTGGGTCCAGTTGGGCCTGCCTTGAATGCGAGATGTACAGTCTTGTAGTTCAGTATTCCTCCTGCAGAGCCCATCAGACCTGAGTTCAAATCCCAGCTCCACCACTTATCAGATGTATAACCTGGGGCACGTTATTCAACCTGAGCCATCATTTTTTAAAAAACTTATTTATTATTATTATTGAGATGGAGTCTTGCTATGTTGCCCAGCCTGGTCTCAAGCTCCTGGGCTCAAGTGATCCTCCCACCTTGGCCTTCCAAAGTGCTGGGATTACAGGCATAAGCTACCATGACCAGCCTCTCTTCATTTCTCAAACCATGACATGGGGATAGTAATGGTATCTATTTCATAGGATTGCAAGAATAAGAGAGGCCAGGCATCTCCTCCTTTCCTTAGATGACAGCCTTCATTCCCATTGCTACTTAGCCTCTTGCTCTAGGTAAGAAGAGTAATGACAGCCCTGGGGCACTTGTAACTTGGCAAGCCCCAGTTACTAGATGAAAGTCCAATAAACCATCTCACTCTCCATCTTGGGAACCACAGCCCAAGAATCATTCATCCATAATCTCCCACAGCAGGAACTAGAGCAGGGGAGATAGGGTGGACCTGTGACCCCATCCACCAGTTCCTGGCCTTTGGGGTAGAATCCAGCTTCCCACCTGGTGCAGTCCCAGGGCGGCAGATGGGCGGGCAGGCAGGCAGGCAGACCTGCTGCAGGCCTGAGTCTGCGGTGGCTGGTCCCTGGGGGTTAAGGCTGTGGGTGGAAGCTAGGAGGGGGAGGCTTATGCAAAACTGCACACAGTTTAGTTTTTTGCTGTCTGTGTCCTAAACGGAGTAGACATGGGGAGACTGCCGCCCTTTTATTATAAATCAGATTCAAACGCGGCAAAAAGACGGCATCTCTAAGGAGGGAGAGGAGAAAAAAGGAGGGAGAGGAAGGAAAAGGGGAGGAATAAAGAGGACAGAGAAATTGGGGGGAAAGAGGGAGGGATATAATAGAGGGAGAAGGAAGGGAATGCAGTGGAGAGAGGGGCAAGAGGAGAGACGGAGAATGTGGGACATGACGGACATTCACGGGGAAAGGAAGCAAGAAGAAAGGCTCAGCACTTCCTAAAAGGAATTGCTGAACATAAAAAGGAACAGGCTGTGCAGGAGCAGGGTGAGTCTGCAGACAACAAAGCCAGCAAGGTTGAGCCTCAGCAAAGGGGACTACACAGCTCGGGCTGGGAGGCTTCAGGCCCCAGGATGGGGGCCACACTTTCAAGACCTCCTTCTCCAGTCAACCTGCGGGCAGCCTCCCTAGGGCCTGGAACTGTCCAGATGCCCAGTGCTAAAATGTCTGGGTGATCACGGGCCTCTCAGGCAGAGCCTCGCAGTCATCCTGAAACTATTTGCTACGCACCCACTATATGCCAGACAATATTCCGAGCACTGGAGATGTCAGCAGTGAATAAAACAAACAAAAATCCCTGTCCTGATGAAGTTCTATTTAGTGGAGAAGATGCATAGTAGCATGTCAGAAAACGTCAAGTCCTATGGAGAAAAAACAAGCAGGAAAAGAGAACGAGGAATTTAGCATCTGCACCTCAAACAGTGGTCACATGTAGCTCCCACAGAGGTGACACAGTGTCAGAGGGTACCCAGGCCGGGAAGTAGGTTCTCACATACAGGCTATGCTGATGTTGGGTCATGGGCCACAGAGACTCACAGATGGGTGATCTGTCAGAGGCCAGACCCCAACCCCAGCCCCAGAAAGCTGCCCATCCCCTCTCTGAAGGCCTCTCAATCCTCTACCCTCAGACCATCTAGGCCTCTACTATGCAAGAGAAACAAGTTTCCACCCTGTGTCCTGTGCCAGCTCAGGTCTGGATGAGTTGAGACACTGGGCTCTGCTGTGTCACTGAGTCAACTCAGGCAACCCACTTCCTCACTCGGGTCTCAGTCTACTTGCCTATAAAATAGGGACAATGATCCCTGCCGAGTGAACAGTGAGTAGCAGCGAGGCTGGTGGCTGTTTAAGCGCCTACTGCTTTATCCTTCACCCTGCAAGTATGTTCCTGAAGAGCACCAGCCTTGGGGTCCACAAAAGCCCAGGGACAGCAGGGGCTGAGACCCAAATCTCAGTGTGCCTTTCAGTGTGAGCCACTGGACCCTTGTCCTGGAGACACTTGGGGACAAGAAGGGCCCAAGAGCAGTTAAGTTTGGGAAACTCAGCACACTCTACTTGCCTCTGGGAGATTCACAATGCTCACTGCCAAGTCCAGGCTTTGGGAAGATAACTCCAAGAACTGCGGGTGGATGGATGGATGGATGGATAGATAGATGAATATATCGTTCTACTCACTTCCAAATGGTAAGAATCACAGGGAGGAAAGTGAAAGCGATTCGAGCCCCAAGGACTCAGGGCAGAACCATTCACAGCCCCTCCAGACCACAAGTTTGGCTGGAAAACAGACGGAACTTATTCATTCATTGATTCATTTACACACCACAGAGTGGTAAGAGCAGCATTAGAGATTAGCACTGGGAACCATGGGAACCACCAGGAGGGGACAATTAACTAAATGTGGGGGTGAAGGCGGCCAGGGATGGCTTTCTGGAGGTGAGCCTGAAGGGTCCTTTGGGGGAACTGACCTCAGGGCTCCAGCCCTCATGCCATTTTCTCCAGCCACAAGAGTCATGCTTGGGGCTTCTTGGACTACATAGGCAGCTTCAATCTGATGGCTGTGGCCCCTTGGCCTCAACAGAATACATCTTGGAGCCCCCTTTTTACCCCAAACCCCCATTCCTCCTTGCTGTCAGCTGCTTGTGAGCCTTCTCACATCCAGAGAATGTATCAGCATTGTGCAGACTGAAAAGACCCAGAGGAACAAGGCTCCAATGGCAAAATTCCAAGTAGAATGACAAATAAATGGGGAGCCATCTGAGAGCAAGGGAGTCCTGCCCAACACCCGCCCCATGCCTTTCTCAGGGACCTCAGACCAGCCACTCACCTCCATCCTCCCAGCACCACCTGCAACCAGCCCCTTGCCCTCTGCAAACTGGAGCACGACTGGATCTTTAGATGGGGGAAAAATGCTTCATCATGTTCTGCTGCTTCATGCAAAACCAGAAACTCCCTCCCCCTCTTCCCTCCTCCCAGCGCACTCTCCTTCCAGTAAAAAGTGGTTAAAGGGACAGCGCCATCAATTTCCCAGCTCTGAGGGTCTGCTTAGAACTAGGGGGCTGGAAGGAGACAGAGGGCAAAGAGAAAGGAACTGGCAGAGGTCTTTCCTGGGGGATATGTCTGTTCTGTCCTGGGGATCCTGGAGCAGGAAAACCCGCGTAAAGTAGGGGTGTAGTGGGTGTTGAGATAACTGCCTGGGGGAGGTTCAGAGTGGAAGTACGAGTCTACAAACTCTCAAGGGCGTCTCAGGGCTCCCAGCATCCCCAGGGGTCCTTTCGCAGGGGTCCCTAAGCAGGAGGGGAACAGCCCAGAAAACACGGAACTGGACCCCCGACAGGAAGTCCAGGGAGGGGTCCCTGGCTCACTATGTGACCCTGCTGGATCACTTGCCTCCCCTCTCGGGTCCCCTCAGCACAGTGTCCCTCCCTTCCTTCCCCTAAAGTAAAAGCAGAGGGTTAATCTCTTTCCCCGCCCCACGCCCAACAAAGAGCAGGCCCTGTCCCCGGTGCTGAAGCGCCAGCCGCAGCACCACCCCCACTCCCACAGCATAAAACATGAGCCAAAACCAATAAAGAGCCAAATGTCACAGCCGTTGCAGGGCCCCCTAAATCCTGGGGACCCCTTCTTCTACCTGACATCCTATTGGGGTGAGGGACTTTGGTACTCAGAAAGCATCTCATCACTTCCCTGTAAGAGAGAAGGGATGCCGACTCAGGCGCCTGCTTGTCTGTTACAGGAGTGGGGGAAGAGAGGACAAGTTGAGGCTGAGAAGATGGGGAGGGGGAGGGAGAAAAGAGGACTTCCTAGTGTTGACAGAACGGCAAGATGTGGGTTCCCCATCCCCAGTTCAGCCAGAGACCCCTCAAAGTGGAACTTCCTGGGGCAGTCGGGGGTCAGGAGTTGGAGCTTGTCTCTGGGGCAAGACCCCTTCGTTGTACAGATGGAAAAACAAGGGTGGGAGGACACAGCTTGTCCAAGGTCATTCGACCAGCAAACTGCCTAGCTGACCCCAGTGTGCAGAAGCTGGCTCGGGTGACACCCATCATTTCCCCCCACCCCACACAGGGGCCAGCTCTCTCAACTTCATGCCCAAGCCCTCCTACGGTACCCCCACTGTAGGTTCTCTGCCCCTCAAACTCAGCCCAGCTTTCTCCTGCCTGTTCAGGGGACCTTCTGCCCGCTTCGCTGAGGGTCCGTCCCCTTTACTGGGGCTGGCAGCAGGGTCTCCCATCTCCTCTCTCGGGGGCCACTGCAGACTTTTTAGAGAACGCCTTGCCTCCCCCCAACCCCACCCATCCGGGGTTCCCTCTCTCCATCCTCTGCAGTGTCTCCCATACCCCCATTCAGGGTAGCCTTGCTATTCTCCCCAACTCCAGGTCCCCCTTCATCTATTCCGGGGCTGGCCGCGGAGTTTCCTGAGCGCTCTCCAAGTGGGTCCTCTAGATGTTAGGAGAACACTGTACCTCCCCCGGTCAGGGGTCTCCTGTCTCCGTTCTATGGAGCGTCCATGCTCCCATTCAGGACTGCCTTGCTCCCTCCTCTGTTCCGGGGCTGGCTGCACAGTCTCTGCACCCCCTATCCTGAAAGCCTCTCTTAACTATTTGGAAAGCCTCGTGTCCTGTCTCATACAGGGATCCCCTCATCCTAATGACTGCAATCTTCCATTGCTCCATCCCGAGGGCATCCTGCCCCTATTCCCATCAGGTTTCTCCTTGTCCTCTCCCTGTTTCAAGTCCCCTTTCTTATTCCGAACACACTCGCAGGCTCTTCCGACGCGCACCCGGGGGTCCTCACTGGCCCACTCCGGGAGTCCTCTGCCCGCTTCCCCGACCTCGAGGGTCTCCTCTGACGCAGCGTCGATTCCCCTTCCCTCCTCGGTCCCCTGCCCCGCCCCTCTCACTGCGGCGGAGCCGGTCGGCCGGGGGGCCGCAGGGGAGGAGGCGGAGAGGGCGGGGCCCTCCTCCCCACCCTCTCACTGCCAAGGGGTTGGACCCGGCCGCGGCGGCTATAAAAGGGCCGGCGCCCTGGTGCTGCCGCAGTGCCTCCCGCCCCGTCCCGGCCTCGCGCACCTGCTCAGGCCATGATGAGCTTCGGCGGCGCGGACGCGCTGCTGGGCGCCCCGTTCGCGCCGCTGCATGGCGGCGGCAGCCTCCACTACGCGCTAGCCCGAAAGGGTGGCGCAGGCGGGACGCGCTCCGCCGCTGGCTCCTCCAGCGGCTTCCACTCGTGGACACGGACGTCCGTGAGCTCCGTGTCCGCCTCGCCCAGCCGCTTCCGTGGCGCAGGCGCCGCCTCAAGCACCGACTCGCTGGACACGCTGAGCAACGGGCCGGAGGGCTGCATGGTGGCGGTGGCCACCTCACGCAGTGAGAAGGAGCAGCTGCAGGCGCTGAACGACCGCTTCGCCGGGTACATCGACAAGGTGCGGCAGCTGGAGGCGCACAACCGCAGCCTGGAGGGCGAGGCTGCGGCGCTGCGGCAGCAGCAGGCGGGCCGCTCCGCTATGGGCGAGCTGTACGAGCGCGAGGTCCGCGAGATGCGCGGCGCGGTGCTGCGCCTGGGCGCGGCGCGCGGTCAGCTACGCCTGGAGCAGGAGCACCTGCTCGAGGACATCGCGCACGTGCGCCAGCGCCTAGACGACGAGGCCCGGCAGCGAGAGGAGGCCGAGGCGGCGGCCCGCGCGCTGGCGCGCTTCGCGCAGGAGGCCGAGGCGGCGCGCGTGGACCTGCAGAAGAAGGCGCAGGCGCTGCAGGAGGAGTGCGGCTACCTGCGGCGCCACCACCAGGAAGAGGTGGGCGAGCTGCTCGGCCAGATCCAGGGCTCCGGCGCCGCGCAGGCGCAGATGCAGGCCGAGACGCGCGACGCCCTGAAGTGCGACGTGACGTCGGCGCTGCGCGAGATTCGCGCGCAGCTTGAAGGCCACGCGGTGCAGAGCACGCTGCAGTCCGAGGAGTGGTTCCGAGGTACGCAGGCGCGCGGGTGGGGGGAGGGGCGCCCCTGCTGACCCCGCAGCGAACTTTTGGGCTGCGTGACCCAAGGGGGCGCTGCCGGACTGCGCGTGGAGTGGCGCGCTGCTCACCTTCCCTCTGCAAAGTGCATGCCCCTAGTTAAATCGCAGTTTTACTCTGGGTCTCTTGTGGGACGCCCCAACTCTGGGTTGTCCTTCGGTTCCCCCTTTCCAGGTTCTTTACGGCTGTACTTCAACTCTGGGCCCCCTGCTGCTCTCTACCCCAAGCTTAGGCGACCCCACTCTGAGATCCCTCCCCCGTCAAGAAAAAAACAAGTTTCCTCTACAGGAAAAAAGTGGTGCAGGATTCTGGTCTGCAAGCGCTGGAGACTCTTAGCCCTTCTAAGTAGCAAGGCTTCCCCGCCAATGCTGCCATGCCCTCTCCTACACCCCGCAAGAAACTCTATTCCTCTCACCCCTACCAGGCTCCTTCCCACTACCTGCTCAGTGCTTAACGTTCCTACCTTAAATCTTCCACGTGGGGGTGGGTCAGGACCTTTTCGCATCCTTTCTTCCTAGAGGGAACCATTACTACAGTCAGTTGTTGCCTGTGGCGGAGGTGGCTGGTGGGCCCTTTCATGTTTTAATGTCCCCTTTCTCCTTTAGGGAAGCTGGGAGCCTCCCAAGTCTGCCCCTCCCCCAACTCCTTGCAGCCCTGAGTCAGCTAGATTGCGCTGCCCTGAGGCTGTGCCCAGCAGCTGCAGGGTGACCTTGACCAACACTTGCCCTCTCTGGTTTTCATTTCTTTTTGAGTTGAAAGAGGAGGGTAGATCAACTGGGCTGCTTAATCCGGGGAGTTCCATGATGTCTCACGAAACTGTCTGTAAAACTTTGCGTTGTTTTTGAGAGAGAGGGCAGAGGCTTCAGTGATTTTCCAAAAGCATCTGTGATCGACAATAGTTGAGAATCTCCAACCACCTGGATGGTTTCTAAGTCTTTGCCAGCACTAGCAGGGAAAGCTGGGATTTTGATGCATAGCTTTTTCTGTTCCTTTTCCACTCCTCTGCAGAGCAGAACCATCCCCTCCTCCATCTCCGCAGCAAGGCCCCTCCCTGCGCAAACCTCTTTTGGGTTTGCCAGTCGTAGGGGCAGACGTCCCAGGATTGTACTGGCCCACTCAGCTGGCTTCCTTCCTCCCCGCCAAGACTTGTGCCCTGAGTGCCACTATCTGGGGATTCAGGATGTTCACTTTTACGAGCTAAAGACCAGTCTCCAGACCTCCACTGCCTCTGGAAGGTTTCCTGGGAACCACGAGCGGGTTGCTGGCGGGGGCCGGGGTGTGGCTACCAATGCTCAGGGGCAATGCTCAGCTAGGTGGAGAAAGGGACAGGGGTTGGCACCCAGGCCACGGGCTCTGCACTGACCTTGGACTGTGCGCAGAAACCTGTAAGGAAGGGACCATGGCTACAAGGTGACCTGATTGCTCACGGTACCCTCATGCCTCCTAAAGGTCACAAGCTCATTAACTTGTTCAGCCACAAACCTGCAGCCTCCAGCTCAGTGTTAAGCCCCATGGGCCAGGTATCACATCTGAACCACCAGCACTGCCAGGCCCTTGCTAGGGAGCTGGACCAGGCATTAGGACCAGGGTTTCCTCTGCCCTGCAGGGTTTTTGGATCCCACACTGGGGGAGACAGAGCATGATCTTTGGGGATTTGAGTCCCAGCTCTGCCACTCACTAGCTGGGTGGCCTTGGGGAGTAGTCACTTGCCTTTATCTCACAGGACAGAGTGAGTCAAGCATACAGGATGGTGTCTGGCACACGCAGTAGGTCAATCCACATGTGTCACCTTCAAAATCTGGGCATTAGGCCGGGCGTGGTGGCTCACACCTGTAATTCCAGCTCTTTGGGAGGCCGAGGTGGGCGAATCATGAGGTCAGGAGTTCAAGACCGCCTGGCGAATGTGGCAAAACCCCATCTCTACTAAAAATACAAAAAATTAGCTGGGCGTAGTGGCAGGTGCCTGTAATCCCAGCTACTCGGGAGGCTGAGGCAGGAGAATCGCTTGAACCCAGGAGGCGGAGCTTGCAGCGAGCTGAGAGTGCACCACTGCCCTCCAGCCTGGGCGAGAGCGAGAATCCGTCTCAAAAAAAAAAAAAAAGAAAAAGAACAAAGAAAAAAATCTGGGCATTAGAACCCAGTCCAGGTGTGTCTAACCCTGTGCCCTGCTACCTTCTCCCCCAGTGAGGCTGGACCGACTGTCGGAGGCAGCCAAGGTGAACACAGACGCTATGCGCTCAGCGCAGGAGGAGATAACTGAGTACCGGCGTCAGCTGCAGGCCAGGACCACAGAGCTGGAGGCACTGAAAAGCACCAAGGACTCACTGGAGAGGCAGCGCTCTGAGCTGGAGGACCGTCATCAGGCCGACATTGCCTCCTACCAGGTGGGCAGGGGCAAGGCAGACAGCCAGACTGCCTTACCTGATTGGGTAGCCCTGGACAAGTTACTGTCCCTCACTGAGTGGGGTTGTAGTGGTTAAGATTGTGGCCCTTGGAGTCAGACATACCAGCACTTTCCAGCTGTGTGACCCTAGGAAAGTTATCTAATTCTCTGAATCTGAGTTCCTTTCCAGCCATGAAAAAAAAAAAAAAAAAAAAGCCTGCTTTGCAGAGCTGGAAAGATTAAAGAGATAGACTTTTATTTATTTATTTATTTATTTATTTATTTATTTATTTTGAGATGGAGTCTCACTCTGTTGCCCAGGCTGGAGTGCAGTGGCATGATCTCAGCTCACTGCAACCTCTGCCTCCTGGGCTCAAGAGATTCTCGTGCCTCAGCCTCCCGAGTAGCGGGGACTACAGGTGCATGCCACCACACCTGGCTAACTTTTGTATTTTTAGTATTGACAGGGTTTCACCATGTTGGCCAGGCTGGTCTCAAACTCCTGGGCTCAGGCAATCCTCCCACTTCAGCCTCCCAAAGTGCTGGGATTACAGGTGTGAGGCACCGTGCCTGGCCTAAAGAGATATACTTTAAATGAGATTAGTGTGAACTTGTGAATGAGCTCGGCAAGGTCTTCAACATTCGAATCTTTCTAGATTTGAATCCCAGCTCTGCCACTCACTAGGTTGGTCTTGGTCGCAGTGGACATTCTGTAAACAGCAACCAGTGTCTTGGGTGGCCAGGGGAAGACCTTAGCAGATTCCTTCTTTTAAAGATAACTGGCGGCTGGGCCTAGTGGCTCATGCCTGTAATCCCAGCACTTTAGGAGGCCAAGGCGGGTGGATCACTTGAGGTCAGGAGTTTGAGACCAGCCTGGCCAACATGGTGAAACCCTGTCTCTACTAAAAAGATACAAAAATTAACTGGGCATGGTGGTGCGTGCCTGTAATCCCAGCTACTTGGGAGGCTGAGACAGGAGAATCGCTTCAACTGAACCTGGGAGATGGGGGTTACAGTGAGCCGAGATCGTGCCACTGCACCCAGCCTGGGCGACAGAGCGACAGAGCGAGACTCTGTCTCAAGAAAATTTAAAAAAATTAAAAAAATTAGCTGGGTATGGTTGTGTGTGCCTACAGTCCTAGCTACTCAGAAGGCTGAGGCAGTCATCAATGCCTACCAAACCCTGACTGTGTGGTGGACACTGTGGCACACTGGAGAAAGACAGGAGCAAAAGCAGGCAAGGCCCTGCTCCCACTGGGTTTTTTTTTTTTTCTTTTTTGAGACACAGTCTCACGCTGTTGCCCAAGCCAGAATGTGACAGCGAGATCATAGCTCACTAAAGTCTTGTACTTCCGGGCTCAAGTAATCCTCCTCCCTCAGCTTCCTGAGTAGCTGGGACTATAGGTGCACATCACCATGCCCAGCTAATTATTTAATTGTTTTGTAGAAATGAGGTCTCACTGTGTTGCCCAGGCTGGTCTCAAACTCCTGGGCTGAAGTGATCCTCCTTCCTCAGCCTTCCAAAATGCTGGGATTACAGGCATGAACCACCAGAGTCTCGCTATGTCTCCCAGGCTGGAGTACAGTGGTATGATCTTGGCTCACTGTAACCTCCGACTCCTGGGTTCAAGCAATTCTCCTGTCTCAGCCTCCCAAGTAGCTGGGATTACAGGTATGTGCCACCACATCCCGCTAATTTTTGTATTTTTAGTAGAGACAGGGTTTTACCATGTTGGCCAGGCTAGTCTCAAACTCCTGACCTCAAGTGATCCACCCTCCTCAGCTTCCCAAAGTGTTGGGAATACAGGCTTGAGCCACCACTCCCGGCCTCACTGAGCACTTTCTAAGCTCAAGATCTCTAAATGTTATCCCATTATCCTGCCAGCCAAACCAGCAGGAACAACTGTTGACATCTGATGAATTTCATTTCAGACCTTCTCCAGTCTGAGGTCACTATACAGCAGGATTTTTGCTCCAGATTGTTCCACGTCCACTAATGAGGACCCTACAGCTCTGGCAGGGTTGGGGTTGGCCCCAGTGAGCCTGGCTGGATGGGCCTGCTCTGGGGTCGCACAGCCCGCCGCAGCTTCTCTGGTACTGAGGGCCAGACACTGGCTGGCATGTGATGTGTGTCACCTCTCCTTCCCAGGAAGCCATTCAGCAGCTGGACGCTGAGCTGAGGAACACCAAGTGGGAGATGGCCGCCCAGCTGCGAGAATACCAGGACCTGCTCAATGTCAAGATGGCTCTGGATATAGAGATAGCCGCTTACAGGTGAGACGCACAGGGGCTGTCACATGGTGAAGAAAGCTTGTGTTCCTGCGAGACGCTAAGCCTTGGGTTTCAAGACCCCGTTTAGGCAGCCTACCTGTCTTAGGGACAAAATTCTTTTTAAATTGCGGCAAAATAGACAAAACATACAATTTACCATTGAACCAATTTCTTTTATTTTTTATTTATTTTTTGAGACAGACTTACTGTGTTGCCCAGGTTGAAGTATGGTGGTGCGATCTCTGCCCACTGCAGCCTCTCCCTCCTGGGTTCAAGCGATTCCCATGCCTCAGCCTCCTGAGTAACTGGGATTACACGTGCCCGCCACCACGCCTGGCTAATTTTTATTTTTTTTTTTTTAGTAGAAACAGGGTTTCACCATGTTGGCCAGGCTGGTCTCAAACTCCTGAACTCAAGCCCTCTGCCCACCTCAGCCTCCCAAAGTCCTGGGATTACAGGCGAGAGCCACCATGACCAGCCCCATTCAACAATGTTAAGTAGGCAGTTCAGTGATATTAAGTACTTTCACATTACTGTGCAGCCATAACCACTGTCTGTCTCCAGAACTGTTTTCATCATCGCAAACTGAAACTCCATACCCAAGAAACCGTCATTATCATTCTCTCCTTCCTTCAGCCCCTGGCAGCCACTCTTTTACTCTGAGAGACATGAGTCTTTTTTTTTTTTTTTTTTTTTGAGATGGAATCTCACTCTGTTGCCCAGGCTGGAGTGCAGCAGCATTATCTCGGCTCACTGCAACCTCTGTGTCCTGAGTTCAAGTGATTCTCCTGCCTCAGCCTCCCGAGTAGCTGGGATTACAGGCACATGCCACCACACCCAGCTATTTTTTGTATTTTTAGTAGAGACTGGGTCTCGCTATGTTGGCCAGGCTGGTCTCGAACTCCTGACCTCAGGTGATCCGCCTACCTCGGCCTCCCAAAGTGCTGGGATTACAGGCGTGAGCCACTGTGCCCAGCCAATGAGTCTTGAGAGTGACTTACTTTCATTCTGAAATGATTTAGACGGTGGAAGTTCCTTATCCCCTCCCCAGATCCAGCCAGCCAGAGGCCTGCTTTGAAGGGAAAAGAGGTGCTTGAGTCAGGGACCTTTCAAACTCTGTCCTTTAGAGTTTCTTAGCTCTGCAAGCATTCATTTCTTGGGGATATAAAGTGGAGATGATAATAAGGGCAACCATGTCATAGGGTTGTCAGGAAGATGAGCTAATCCCATTCCCAAGCTAATCCAGGAAGCACAGGTACCACTGGGCTGCTACAGAGGGAACCCTTAGTCAGTGGCAGCCTTGAGAAATCCAGTCTGAGGAATAAGACCGGGGGGAGCAGGGCTAGGGAGCAGGACTGATTCCCTGAGGACTTGTCCCAGTTCTGACTGGTGACCTGTGGCTTCCTACCTCTTGGCTCTCGTCTGTAATCTTGCTACTCAAAGCATGGCACATGAACCAGCAGAATTGGCATCATTCAAGAGCTTATCAGAAAGATAGTCTCTTGGTTGGGTGTAGTGACTCATGCCTGTAATCCCAGCACTTTGGGAGACCAAGGCAGACAGATTGTTTCAGTTCAGAGACCAAGCTGGGCAGCATGGCAAAACCCCATCTCTACAAAAAATACAAAAAAAAAAAAAATAGCTGGGCATGGTGGCACATGCCTTTAGTCTCAGCTACTCAGGAGGCTGACGTGGGAGGATCACCTGAGCCTGGGAGTTGGAGGCTTCAGTGAGCTATGATCGTGCCACTGCACTCCAGCCTGTCATCACAGAGTGAGACACTGTCTCAAAAATAACAACAACACAACAACAACAAAAGACAGACGCTCAGCCCCTCCCCAGACCTGCTGAATCAGAATCTGCATTTTGATAAGATCCCCGGTCATCTGTGTGCTGCTAAATTTGGGAAGTACTAGTCTGAGGGGTAACCCCCACACTTACTCTGAGACAAGCATTCTGCCAAGTCTTTTCCATTCATTGTCTCACTGAAACAACCCTCTGACGTAGGGACTCTAATGACCCTCTTTTTCCAGTGAGGAAATTGAGGCTCAAAGAGTTGGTGTGTCTTGGCCAAGGTCACCCATCTAGTGAGGAGCAAAGCCAAGAGGAGAAACTGCGGCCTCTACCCTATTCCTGAAACTCAAAAGATGGTAATACAGGGTGATGAGAGACACTCGCGATTCAAATGGGAGCGTTCTAAGACCTCTTAAACCCAAATTTATAAAAGTAGAATTGTGGTCGGGTGCGGTGGCTCACACCTGTAATCCCAGCACTTTGGGAGGCCTAGGCGGGTGGATCGGCTGAGGTCAGGAGTTCGAGACCAGCCTGACCAATATGGTGAAACCCCCGTCTCTACTAAAAATACAAAAATTAACTGGACGTGGTGGCGTGCGCCTGTACTCCCAGCTACTCAGTAGGCTGAGACAGGAGAATTGCTTGAAGCTGGGGGAATTGCTTGAATCTGGGAGGCAGAGGTTGCAGTGAACTGAGATTGTACCACTGGACTCCAGCCTAGGTGACAGAGCAAGACTCCGTCTCAAAAAAAGGAAAAAAAAAAGTGGAATTGTTTGCTCAGGCTCCCAGGGTTCTCTTGAATAATATTTTAGTTTGAGGGACAATAAATTTAACTTTTGTTAAATTTATTTAGGAGCTTTCTCTTGAGGGCCATTTTTTATGGGGCAAAAGTTGTTTTATTTCAAAAGTTTCAGGCTTAGCTGTGTTGAAGAAGACCAGCTGTTCCAGCCTGGGCAACACAGTGAGACCCTCTCAAAAACAACAACATCAACAAAAAAAGACCAGTCCCACCGGGGTACACATTCTGGGTGGTCACTGGAATGATTTGCCAAGTGACTTTCTCTAGTCTCATAATGCCCACCATTCACATTCCTGTTCCACCAAAACCCATATCATTCGATGTCAGTGACCTTCAGGATAGTCTAGGAAGAACCCAAATAGTGAATTTGCCCTGAGTTTATACTAATGTGTTCCGTGATCCATCCTGCAGAAAACTCCTGGAAGGTGAAGAGTGTCGGATTGGCTTTGGCCCAATTCCTTTCTCGCTTCCAGAAGGACTCCCCAAAATTCCCTCTGTGTCCACTCACATAAAGGTGAAAAGCGAAGAGAAGATCAAAGTGGTGGAGAAGTCTGAGAAAGAAACTGTGATTGTGGAGGAACAGACAGAGGAGACCCAAGTGACTGAAGAAGTGACTGAAGAAGAGGAGAAAGAGGCCAAAGAGGAGGAGGGCAAGGAGGAAGAAGGGGGTGAAGAAGAGGAGGCAGAAGGGGGAGAAGAAGAAACAAAGTCTCCCCCAGCAGAAGAGGCTGCATCCCCAGAGAAGGAAGCCAAGTCACCAGTAAAGGAAGAGGCAAAGTCACCGGCTGAGGCCAAGTCCCCAGAGAAGGAGGAAGCAAAATCCCCAGCCGAAGTCAAGTCCCCTGAGAAGGCCAAGTCTCCAGCAAAGGAAGAGGCAAAGTCACCGCCTGAGGCCAAGTCCCCAGAGAAGGAGGAAGCAAAATCTCCAGCTGAGGTCAAGTCCCCCGAGAAGGCCAAGTCCCCAGCAAAGGAAGAGGCAAAGTCACCGGCTGAGGCCAAGTCTCCAGAGAAGGCCAAGTCCCCAGTGAAGGAAGAAGCAAAGTCACCGGCTGAGGCCAAGTCCCCAGTGAAGGAAGAAGCAAAATCTCCAGCTGAGGTCAAGTCCCCGGAAAAGGCCAAGTCTCCAACGAAGGAGGAAGCAAAGTCCCCTGAGAAGGCCAAGTCCCCAGAGAAGGAAGAGGCCAAGTCCCCTGAGAAGGCCAAGTCCCCAGTGAAGGCAGAAGCAAAGTCCCCTGAGAAGGCCAAGTCCCCAGTGAAGGCAGAAGCAAAGTCCCCTGAGAAGGCCAAGTCCCCAGTGAAGGAAGAAGCAAAGTCCCCTGAGAAGGCCAAGTCCCCAGTGAAGGAAGAAGCAAAGTCCCCTGAGAAGGCCAAGTCCCCAGTGAAGGAAGAAGCAAAGACCCCCGAGAAGGCCAAGTCCCCAGTGAAGGAAGAAGCTAAGTCCCCAGAGAAGGCCAAGTCCCCAGAGAAGGCCAAGACTCTTGATGTGAAGTCTCCAGAAGCCAAGACTCCAGCGAAGGAGGAAGCAAGGTCCCCTGCAGACAAATTCCCTGAAAAGGCCAAAAGCCCTGTCAAGGAGGAGGTCAAGTCCCCAGAGAAGGCGAAATCTCCCCTGAAGGAGGATGCCAAGGCCCCTGAGAAGGAGATCCCAAAAAAGGAAGAGGTGAAGTCCCCAGTGAAGGAGGAGGAGAAGCCCCAGGAGGTGAAAGTCAAAGAGCCCCCAAAGAAGGCAGAGGAAGAGAAAGCCCCTGCCACACCAAAAACAGAGGAGAAGAAGGACAGCAAGAAAGAGGAGGCACCCAAGAAGGAGGCTCCAAAGCCCAAGGTGGAGGAGAAGAAGGAACCTGCTGTCGAAAAGCCCAAAGAATCCAAAGTTGAAGCCAAGAAGGAAGAGGCTGAAGATAAGAAAAAAGTCCCCACCCCAGAGAAGGAGGCTCCTGCCAAGGTGGAGGTGAAGGAAGACGCTAAACCCAAAGAAAAGACAGAGGTAGCCAAGAAGGAACCAGATGATGCCAAGGCCAAGGAACCCAGCAAACCAGCAGAGAAGAAGGAGGCAGCACCGGAGAAAAAAGACACCAAGGAGGAGAAGGCCAAGAAGCCTGAGGAGAAACCCAAGACAGAGGCCAAAGCCAAGGAAGATGACAAGACCCTCTCAAAAGAGCCTAGCAAGCCTAAGGCAGAAAAGGCTGAAAAATCCTCCAGCACAGACCAAAAAGACAGCAAGCCTCCAGAGAAGGCCACAGAAGACAAGGCCGCCAAGGGGAAGTAAGGCAGGGAGAAAGGAACATCCGGAACAGCCAAAGAAACTCAGAAGAGTCCCGGAGCTCAAGGATCAGAGTAACACAATTTTCACTTTTTCTGTCTTTATGTAAGAAGAAACTGCTTAGATGACGGGGCCTCCTTCTTCAAACAGGAATTTCTGTTAGCAATATGTTAGCAAGAGAGGGCACTCCCAGGCCCCTGCCCCCAGGCCCTCCCCAGGCGATGGACAATTATGATAGCTTATGTAGCTGAATGTGATACATGCCGAATGCCACACGTAAACACTTGACTATAAAAACTGCCCCCCTCCTTTCCAAATAAGTGCATTTATTGCCTCTATGTGCAACTGACAGATGACCGCAATAATGAATGAGCAGTTAGAAATACATTATGCTTGAGATGTCTTAACCTATTCCCAAATGCCTTCTGTTTTCCAAAGGAGTGGTCAAGCCCTTGCCCAGAGCTCTCTATTCTGGAAGAGCGGTCCAGGTGGGGCCGGGGACTGGCCACTGAATTATGCCAGGGCGCACTTTCCACTGGAGTTCACTTTCAATTGCTTCTGTGCAATAAAACCAAGTGCTTATAAAATGAAAATGTTGCTGCTGTTATTCTCTTTCCCTGGGAAGGCTGGGGGCAGGGCAGGGGAGGTCTGGATGTGACACCCCAGACTGCATGGGACTGAGCAAGCATCAGTTCCCTCGTGGGTCTAGAGCGACTTGCATGGTCTCTCTAGTGCTGTTTCCTGGGCACAAACCATGTGCCAGGCAGTGTGCTAGGGGCTTTATTTTTATGATCTGTACAGGTGGCCTGGTATGTGGTTTCTCAGTGTGGACTGTGGACTGTCTTCAGCAGCATCACCTGGGAGTATTATAAAAATGCACGCTTGGCCGGGCGCGGTGGCTCACGCCTGTAATCCCAGCACTTTGGGAGGCCCAGGTAGGTGGATCACGAGGTCAGGAGATCGAGACCATCCTGGCTAACATGGTAAAACCCTGTCTCTACTAAAAATACAAAAAATTAGCCGGGCGTGGTGGTGGGCACCTGTAGTCCCAGCTACTCGGGAGGCTGAGGCAGGAGAATGGCGTGAACCTGGGAGGCGGAGCTTGCAGTGAGCGGAGATGGCGCCACTACACTCCAGCCTGGGCGACAGAGCAAGACTCCGTCTCAAAAAAATAAATAAATAAATAAAAATGCACGCTTGCCCAGGTGTGGTGGCTCACACCTGTAATCCCAGCTTTGGGAGGCCAGGGTGGGCATATCACAAGGTCAGGAGTTCAAGACCAGCCTGGCCAACATGATGAAACCCCATCTCTACTAAAAATACAAAAATTAGCCAGACATGGTGGCGTGCGCCTGTAGTTCCAGCTATTCAGGAGGCTGAGGCAGGGGAATCGCTTAAACTCGGGAGGTGGAGCTTGCAGTGAGCTGAGATCCAGCCTGGCGACAGAGTGAGACTGCGTCTCAAAAAAAAAAACAAAAAACAAACACTCCAGCAGGACATGATGGCTCATGCCAATGAGCCCAACACTTTGGGAGGCCAAAGTGGGAGGATCACTTGAGCCCAGGATTTTGAGATCAGCCTGGGCAACATAGACCCCATCTCTTAAAAAAAAGTTTTTTGTTTTTTGTTTTTTTTTTTTAATTAGCTGGAGCTGGGCATGGTGGCTTATGTCTGTAATCCTAGCACTTTGGGAGGCCAAGGCGGGTGGATCACTTGAGGTCAGGAGTTCGAGACCAGCTTGGCCAACATGGTGAAAGCCCATCTTTACTGAAAATACAAAAATTGGCTGGGCGTGGTGGCTCACGCCTGTAATCCCAGCACTTTGGGAGGCTGAGGCAGGCAGATCACTTGAGGTCAGGAGTTCGAGACCAGCCTGCCCAACATGGTGAAACCCCATCTCTACTAAAAAAACAAAAATTAGCTGGGTGTGGTGGTGCACGTCTGTAATCCCAGCTACTTGGGAGGCTGAGGCAGGAGAATCGCTTGAACCCAGAAGGGCAGAGATTGTAGTGAGCCAAGATTGTGTCACTGCACTCCAGCCTCGGTGGTAGAGAAAGACTCCATCTCAAAAAACAAAACAAAAAAGCTAACTGGGCATGGTGGCAGGTGCCTGTAATCCCAGCCACTCAGGAGGCTGAGGCATGAGAATTGCTTGAACCTGGGAGGCAGAGGTTGCGGTGAGCCGAGATTGTGCCGCTGCACTCCAGCCTGGGTGATTGATAGAGAAAAAAAAGAAAAAGAAAATAAAATTAGCTGGGTATGGGGCACACATCTGTGGTCCCAGCTACTGGGGGGCTGAGGTGGGAGGATTGTTTTAACCCAGGAGTTCAAGGCTGTAGTGAGCTATGATCACACACTGCACTCCAGTCTGGGTGAAAGGGTAAGACCTTTTCTCCAAAAAACAGAGAGAGAAGGGCTTTGATTGATTGGCTCTTGATTATCAAACATGCCCAAGGACTCTATGAAAACCTAAGCATTAATTTTCTGAGCAGTTCTGCCCTAGGGAAATCAGACGGACCTCCACAGGCCCAGGCACACAGTATAGCATCTGAATATCAAACTGGGATCTAAGACCCAGGAAATTCCCATGTGTCTTGTCTGAAAAAAGTTACAGTTGGTTGAGAACCTCAAAATACTTATAATGATGACAGTACCATTTGTTGAGATAACCATGTTATGTTTTTGTTTTTGTTTTTGAGACAGAGTCTTGCTCTGTCACCCAGGCTGGAGTGCAGTGGCGCCATCTCGGCTCACTACAACCTCCGCCTCCTGGGTTCAAGCAATTCTCCTGCCTCAGCCTCCCAAGTAGCTGGGACTACAGGCGCATGCCACCACGCCTGGCTAATTTTTGTATTCTTTAGCAGAGACAGGGTTTTGCCATGTTGGCCAGGCTGGTCTCAAACTCCTGACCTCAGGTGATCCACCTGCCTCAGCCTCCCAAAGTGCTGGGATTACAGGTGTGAGCCACCATGTCTGGCAGAGATAATCATGTTTTTACATAAATTCTCTCCAATCCACATGGGCATTTTTCAATGTAGAGATTCTGATGCCTATTTTAGTGGTGAGAAAACAGGCGAGGTGAGTTGCCCAGAGCCACAAAGCTAGTAAATGATAGTGCCAGAATCTGAATCCAAAACTTAACTCCAGAGTCCATGTTTTCTGTACTACCATGCCATAGAATCCTGAGCAAGCTGCATTGGTTTAATTTTGGTCATCAAATAACTGCTATGTCAGGTGTCAACTGTCCTAATTCACCTGGGATATAGGAGTTTCCCAAGATATAGGACTTTTAGTGTTAAAACCAGGAAAGTCCTGGGCAAATGGGGATGAATTGTTCCCCCTAATGTTTGGGCAGCCATTCTAGCACATTTCAGAATATTGCATATGACAAAACCTAATGGCAACATTCAAGGGCTGAAGTGAAGTCACTGGACTCAGTCACTTCTTGGCTCTCAGGTCTGTTTCTCTCAGTATTGGCTTTTGTGATAGGCTTCCTCTAAAATGGCTCCAATGGCCAAGTGCCTATTATCCCAGCACTTTGGGAAGCTGAGGCAGGAGGATTGTGTGAGGCCAGGAGTTTGAATCCAGCCTGGGCAACAAAGCCCCTGTCTACCAAAAATTAAACAAACTACTGGGCATGGTGGTGCATGCCTGTAGTTTTAGCTACTTGGGAGGCTGAGGCAGGAGGATTGCTTGAGCCCAGGAGTTCAAGGTTATAGTGAGCTATGATTGCTACCACTGTACTCCAGCCTGGGTGACAGAGTAAAACCCTGTCTCTAAGAGATAAATTAAAAATTAATAAAATTGTTCCCAACAATTCCCACCTCCTGTTATTCATGCTGTTTTGTAATCCCCTCCCCTTCAATGTAGGCCTGACCTAGTAATTCGTTCTAATGACTAGCATATGGCAAAGTGGTGGAATGTCATTTCCGTGAGTAGTTTACAAGAAGATTCTGGCTTCTGTTTTGCTTGCTCTCACTCTGATGGAAGCCAGCTACGATGTTGAGAGTTGCCCTAAGGAGAGGCCTACATGGTAAGGAACTGAAGGAAGCCTTTGGCCAATAGCCAGTAAGGAACTGAGGTCCTAAATTCAGTGAGAAACTGAATTCTACTAATAACCACATGAGTGAGAATGGAAGCAGATCCTCCCCAGTTGAGCCATCAAATGAGACTGCAGCCCCATCCAACACCCTGATTGCAGCCTTATGAGAGGCTTTAAGGAAGAGCCACCCAGCTAAGCTGTGCCTGGATATAAATGTTTGTTGTTTGAAGTCACCAAGTTTTCGGGTAATTTGTTACACAGAAATAGATGTAATGAAGCTTCTCTTTCAGAAAGGCCTTCTCTTCATGGAGATCCTCAGCTATGATAGGCTTATATTATTCCAGGTACAAATCACAGGAAAGAGATTCTGTTCCTACCAGTTCAAATCAAAGTGTGAGAAGTGAGTCTCAGTGGAAGACTGGGTCATGCACCCATCCTGAAATTAATTACTGTGGCCAGGGAGGATGGAACACACTGACTGGACCTGCTGGGTCACATACCCAACTCTAGATCCAGGGATGGAGTCAGCCCATCTGAACCTATCTCAACCACATAAACTAGACCTGACATTTCAGAACCCAAGGATAGAGAGAATCCTAAGAGCTTCCAGAGAGAGAGAAGAAAAAGCAGGGTCAAGAATCAAATGGCACAGCCAGGAGCAGTGGCTCACGCCTGTAATCCCAGCACTTTGGGAGGCCAAGGCAGGCAGATCACGAGGTCAGGAGATCGAGACCATCCTGGCTAACACGGTGAAACCCCATCTCTACTAAAAATACAAAAAATTAGCCAGGCGTGGTGGTGGGCGCCTGTGGTCCCAGCTATTCGGGAGGCTGAGGCAGGAGAATGGCGTGAACCTGGGAGGCGGAGCTTGCAGTGAGCCGAGATCATGCCACTGCACTCCAGCCTGGGCGACAAAGCGAGACTCCGTCTCAAAAAAAAAAAAAAAAAAAAAAAAAAACAGAATCAAAATGGCCCCAAACTTCTCAGCAGCAATGATGGACACTGCTTAGAAGTCTATACTGATAAATCAAGCATGAGGGTAGAAAAAGGACAATTTCAGGCTTACGAAGTCTCAAAAAATTACTTTCCATAAATTACTGGAGGACATGCTTCAACAAAAAGTGAGCATAAGCCAGGAAATAGAAACTCTGGGAATACAGAAAACAGGGGCTACACAAAGATGAGAGAAGGGACTCCTTAGGTTGATGACAAAGAGAAATTGATGGACAATAGCTGTGTAGCCTCCATCCAGATTGGAGTGAGTCTGGGGGAAGAGGGGGAGTTCTGAGGCACAAAAAAAAAAAAAAAAAAAAAACCTGACAAATTATTTGACATGAATGACCGTGGGTAAAATTGAATTGAAAGTCTTTTACTGGGCCAGGTGCAGTGGCTCATGCCTGTAATCCCAACACTTTGGGAGGCTGAGGCAGGTGAATCACCTGAGGTCAGGAGTTCGAGACCAGCCTGGCCAACATGGTGAAACCCTGTCTCTACTAAAAATACAAAAATTAGCCAGGCATGGTGGTGCGCACCTGTAGTCCCAGCTGCTTGGGAGGCTGAGGCAGGGAGAATCACTTGAACCCGGGACAGGGAGGTTTCAGTGAGCCAAGATTGCACCACTGCACTCCAGCCTGGGCAACAGAGCAAGACTCCATCTGGAAAAAAAAAAAAAGAAAAGAAAGTCTTTTATTGAACTACTGGAGACTGCGGGAATATTTAGTCAATTTCAAAGACAAAACAAGTAATAAAAGGGAGGAAAACATTAACTCCAGGAGAAGTGAAAAATTGTGTGTAAGAAGAAGTTGTAATTATTATATACTAGCCAATTCAACAGGTAACAATATTTACCTAATAGTAATAAAAGCAATGAATATGGATTATACCAGAAAGTAAGCTAAATAAATGGGAAAGATGGGGAAAGGGGCAAAGGGATGTGTGACTGATCAAAAATAGTCATCTCAGCTGGATGTGGTGGCTCATGCCTATAATCCCAGCACTTTGGGAGACTGAGGTGGGCAGAATGCTTGAGCCCAGGAGTTTGAGACCAGCCCGGGCAACATAGCGAGACCTCATCTCTACTAAAAAAAAAAAAAAAAAAAATTAGCTGGCCATGGTGGCCTGTGCCTGTAGTCCCAGAGGCTAAGATGGGAGGATAGCCTGAGTCTGAGAGTTTGAAGCTGCAGCAAACTATGATGAAGCCACTGCACTCCACCCTGGGCAACAGAGGGAGACTCTGTCTCAAATAAAATAAAATAAAGCTTCCCTGGGTGACCCTTACTTAGAAAAACCTACATTCATTCATTCATTCATTTATCGAGATAGAGTCTTGCTCTGTCACCCAGGTTGGAGTGCAGTGGCACCATCTTGGCTCACTGCAACCTACACCTCTCAGGTTCAAGTGATTCTCCTGCCTCAGCCTCCCGAGTAGTTGGGATGGGACCACAGTTGCGTGCCATCACGCTTGGCTAATTTTTTATATTTTGGTAGAGACGTAGTTTCGCCATGTTGTCCAGGCAGGTCTCAATCTCCTGAGCTCAAGCAATCCACTAACCTCAGCCTCCCAAAGTGCTGGGATTACAGGTGTGAACCACAGCACCCAGCATCATCAGCATTATTTCTGTTGCAAGTGACCAAAACAGAATTAAACTAGTTTGTGCAAAATACTTACTAATGCTGCTGCTGCTGATAAATATATTAGCTTACATAACCCCAAGGAGTTCAAGAAGGTTGAATCGTAGCTGGGCGTGGTGGCTCATGCCTGTAATCCTAGCACTTTGGGAGGCCGAGGTGGATGGATCGCCTGAGGTCAGGAGTTCGAGACCACCCTGGCCAGCACAGTGAAACCCCGTCTCTACTTAAAATACAAAAATTAGCTGAGTGTGATGGTGCATGACTGTAATCCCAGTTACTTAGGAGGCTGAGGCAGGAGAATCACTTGAACCTGGGAGGTGGAGGTTGCAGCAAGCTGAGATTGTGCCACTGCACTCCAGCCTGGGGGACAGAGTGAGACACTGTCTCAAAAAAAAAAAAAAAAAAAAAAAAAAAAAAAGAGAAGCTTGAATTGCTTCAGGAATGGCTGGATCCAGGGGAACTCTCAAATGATGTTCCCCAGGAAGCTGTCACTCATTTCTCCATCTCTCAGCTGCTTCCTTTTGTGTCAGCTTTAACGTCAGGCAGAACATCTCCATGTGGTCTCCAGAAGCTTTGGGCTTATATCCTACCAGGTTAGCAAACTCAGGGGAGAAAAAAGAACTCTTGTTCAATATTCCAGTAAAAGTCCAGGGTTTGGTTCTCACTGGGCTGGTAGGGCCATATGATCCTCCTTGAGCCAATGCATGAGACACTGATGAGCTAGACAGAGTTCACCTGCTCATCCCTGGAGCTAGGGAATATGTCAGACCCCTCAGTCTGAAATTGAGAGTTTGAGAGGGGAGTTTCCCAAAGGAAAATAGAAGTACTCTTAGCAGGAGAAAAAGGAGTGAATGTTGGACATTGGTAATGATAAATGTCCACAGTGGATGGAGTGCAGGTAGCAGAAGATCCAAAAGAATGATAATACCCAGTGTTAGCAGCTATGTAGAGAAACCTGAATTTTCTGGAGCTAATGCTTGGAATGAAAATCTTCCAGGAAGACAATCTAACGAAATATATCAAAAGCCTTAAAACCTTAGTCTTTTTTTTTTTTTTTTGAGATAGAATCTCACTCTATTGCCCAGCCTGGAGCACAGTAGTGTGATCTTGGCTCACTGCAACCTCCACCGCCTGGGTTCAGGCAATTCTCCTGCCTCAGCCTCCCAAGTAGCTGGGATTACAGGCACCTGCCACTGTGCCCAGCTAATTTTTGTATTTTTAGTAGAGATGGGGTTTCACCATCTTGGCCAGGCTGGTCTTGAACTCCTGACCTCGTGATCCACCCACCTCAGCCTCCCAAAGTGCTAGGATTACAGGCTTGAGCCACTGTGCCTGGCCTCAAGCTTAGATAGTCTTTAACCAAGGTATGCCACTTTGAAGAATGTATCCTAAATAAATACTTAGGTATATACAGAAATATTCAAATATGAAATCTATGTACCTCAGTTTTGGTTATAATTTGGAACAACAGAAAATATACTGATTATACACTAATAGGAGACTGGCTAAATAAATTACATCTATATTAGTAAACATGTTAAAGCAAAAAATAAAACTAGTTTGTTTTTAATTTTTATTACTTTATTTTTCCATAAGTTATTGGGGAACAGGTGGTGTTTGGTTACATGAGTACATTTTTTAGTGGTGATTTGGGAGACTTTGGTGCACCCATCACCCAAGCAGTGTACATTGCACCATATTTGGAGTCTTTTATCCCTCACCCCCCTCCCACTCTTCCTTCCAAGTCCCCAAAGTCCATTGTATCATTCTTACGCCTTTGCGTCCTCATAGCTTAGCTCCCACATATCAGTGAGAACATACAATGTTTAGTTTTCCATTCCTGAGTTACTTCCCTTAGAATAATAGTCTCCAGTTTCATCCAGGTCACTGCAAATGCTGTTAATACATTCCTTTTTATGGTTGAGTAGTATACCATCATATATACATATATATATTCACACCTGTAATCCCAGCACTTTGGGAGGCTGAGGCAGGTGGATCACCTGAGGTCAGGAGTTCAAGACCAGCCTGGCAAACATGGAGAAACCCTGTCTCTACCAAAAATACAAAATTTAGCCAGGCATGGTGGCACACACCTGTAATCCCAGTTACCTGGGAGGCTGAGGCAGGAGAATCACTTGAACCTGGGAGGCAGAAGTTGCAATGAGTGGAGATCACGCCACTGCACTCCAGCCTCGGCAACAGAGTGAGACTCCATCTCAAAAAGTAATAATAATAAATGAATTAAAAATAAATAAAAATAAAAAAGCCTTAATTAGGGCTGGGCACAGTGGTTCATGCCTATAATCCTAGCACTTGGGAGGCTGAGGCAGGTGGATCACTTGAGGTCAGGAGTTCAAGACCAGCCTCACAAACATGGTGAAACCCTGTCTCTACCAAAAAATTTATAAATTAGCCAGATGTGGTAATGCACACCGGTACCAGGTCCCAGCTACTCAGGAGGTTGAGGCAGGAGAATCACTTGAAGTCGGGCGGCGGAGGTTGCAGTGAGCCGAGATGGTGCCACTGCACTCCAGCCTGAGCAACAGAGCAAGACTCCATCTTTAAAAAAAAAAGCCTCAATTAAAAAAAAATAGCTTCCATAAATTTAAAAGAATTGAAATCGTACAAAGTACGTTCTCTGATCACACTAGAGTAAAAGTTAATAACTAATCTGGGAAAGTCACAAATATGTGAAAAACAAACACTCCTAAATAACCAATGGGTCAAAGATGAAATCAGAGGGGAAATCAGAATATTTTTAGATGAACGAAAATGAAGATATAACATATGAAAACTTACGGTATGCAAGTAAAACAATGCTTAGAGGGAAATTTAAAGTTGTAAATGTCTACATTTAAAAAGAAGAATGAGGCCAGGCACAGTGGCTGACGCCTGTAATCCCAGCACTTTGGGAGGCCAAGGCTGGAGGATCACTTGAGCCCAGGAGTTCCTGACCAGCTTGGGGAACATAGTGAGATCCCGTCACTACAAAATAAAAATTAAAAAATTAACCAGGCACAGTGGCGTGTACCTGTAGTCCCAGCTACTTGGGAGGCCAAGGCAGGAGGGTTGCCAGAGCCCAGGAGTTCAAGACTGCAGTGAGCTACAATCACACCACTGCACTCCAGCCTGGGTGACAGAGCAAGACCCTGTCTCTAAATAAATAAATAAAGGAAAAGAAGAATGATCTCAAATCAATAACCTAAATTTCTACCTTAAGACATTGAAAAAAGAAGAGCAAAGTAAACCCAAAGAAGGATTAGAGTGGAAATTAATGAAATAGAGAATATAAAAATGACACAGAAAATCAATGAAATTAAAAGTTAGGTCTTGGCCGGACGCAGTGGCTCACACCTATAATCCCAGCACTTTGGGAGGCTGAGGAGGGCGGATCACCTGAGGTCAGGAGTTCGAGACCAGCCTGGCCAACATGGTGAAACTCCATCTCTACTAAAAATACAAAAATTAGCCAGGCATGGTGGCGAGCGCCTGTAATCCCAGCTACTTGGGAGGCTGAGGCAGGAGAATTGTTTGAACCCGGGAGGCGGAGGTTGCAGTGAGCCAAGATTGCACTCCAGCCTGGATGACAAGAGTGAAACTCTGTCTCAAAAAAAAAAAAAAAAAAAGGTCCTAAAAAGACCAACAAAATTCACAAACCTTTAGCTAGACTGACTAAGATAAAAGAAGAAAAGACTCAAATTACTAAAATCAAGAATAAAAGAGAAGGCATTAATGCCAACCTTACAGAAATAAAAGGAATTATAAGGCAATACTGTGAACAACCGTATGTCCACTAATTCAATAATTTAGATTAAATGCATAAATTCCTAGAAATATAAAAACTACTGAAACTGACTCAAGAAAAATGAGAAAATCTGGCCAAGTGGGGTGGCTCACACTTGTAATCCCAGAACTTCGGGAGGCCAAGGCAGGTGGATCACAAGGTCAGGAGATCAAGACCAGCCTGGCCAACACGGTGAAACCCCGTCTCTACTAAAAATACAAAAATTAGCCAGGCATGGTGGCACGTGCCTGTAATCCCAACTACTTGGGAGGCTGAGGCAGAAGAATCGCTTGAACCTAGGAGGCGGAGGTTGCAGTGAGCCAAGGTCACTCCATTACACTCTAGCCTGGACAACAAGAGTGAAACTGTCTCAAAAAAAAAAAAAAAAAATTCAGTCTGGGCGCAGTGGCTCATGCCTGTAATCCCAGCACTTTGGGAGGCCAAGGTGGGCGGATCACAAGGTCAAGACCATCCTGGCCAACATGGGGAAACCCCATCTCTACTAAAAATACAAAAATTAGCTGGGTGTGGTGGCACGCGCCTGTAATCCCAGCTACTCGGGGGGCTGAGGCAGGAGAATCGCTTGAACCCGGGAGACGGAGGTTGCAGTGAGCTGAGTTTGTGCCACTGCACAATCCAGCCTGGCGACAGTGGGAGACTTCATCTCAAAAAAAATAAATAAATAAAATAAATAAATAAATAGCAAGCAAAAATTAGCCAGGCATGGTGGGGCGAGTACTTCTAGTCCCAGTTACTCGGGAGGCTGAAGCAGGAGAATCGCTTGAACCTGGGAGGCAGAGGTTGCAGTGAGCCAAGACTGCACCACTGCACTCCAGCTTGGGCGACAGAGTGAGACTCTGTCTCAAAAAAAAAAAAAGAAAAGAAAAGAAAAGAAAATCGGCTGGGCGCAGTGGCTCACGCCTGTAATCCCAGCACTTTGGGAGGCTGAGGCAGGTGGATCATGAGGTCAGGAGATCGAGACCATCCTGGCTAACACGGTGAAACTGTCTCTATTGAAAATACAAAAAATTAGCCGGGCATGGTAGCGGGCGTCTGTAGTCCCAGCTACTCGGGAGGCTGAGGCAGGAGAATGGAGTGAACCCGGGAGGCGGAGCGTGCAGTGAGCCGAGATAGCGCCACTGAGTCCAGCCTGGGTGAAAGAGCGAGAATCCGTCTCAAAAAAAAAAAAAGGAAAGAAAATCAATTAATGTAGTACACTACCTTGCCTTAAAGAATGAAGGGGAGCTGGGCACGATGGCTCACACCTGTATTTCCAGGTACATGGGAGGCTGAGGTGGGAGAATTGCTTGAGCCCTGGAGTTGAAGGCTGCAGTGAGCTTTGATTGCACCACTGCACTCCAGCCTGGGTGACAGAGCAAAACCCTGTATCTAAAACAAAAAACACAAAACCAATGGTGAAAAGCTGAAAGCTTTTCCCCTAAGATCAGGAACAAGACAGAGATGCCCACTTTCACAGTTGTATTCAACACAGTACTGGCAGTCCTAGCCAGAGAAATTAGGCAAGAAAAAGAAAAGGCATCCAAATTGGAAAGGAAGAAATAGAACGATCTCTATTTGCAGATGACATTATCACATATATAGAAAATCCCAAATAATCCACAGTAAACCCTTTTATTTATTTATTTATTTAGAGACCAAGGTCTCACTTTGTCCCCAAGACTGGAGTGCACCTGTGTGATCATAGCTCACTGTAGCTTCCAACTTCTGGGCTCATGTGATCCTCCTGCCTTTGCCTTCTGAGTAGCTGGGACTACAATTATGCGCCACCATGCCTGGCTAATTTTTAAATCTTATTTTTGTATAGACAGGGCTTCACTATATTGCCCAGACTGGCAGAAAAGTTTTTTTTAATTACTAGAGTTAATAAATGAATTCAGTAAAGCAGCAGGGGACAAAGTCAACACACAAAGAACAATTGTATGTCTACTCACCAACAATGAACAATCAGAAAAAGAAATTAAGAAAATAATTCTATTTATAATAGTATCAAAAATAATAAAATACCTAGGGATAAATTTAACCAAGGAGGCAAAAGACTTATACACTAAGTTTCATTTAAATAGGACAGTGAATGTAAAAGTGTGATTAGCACAGGGCCTGACCCAAAATAGATGCTTAATGCCTATTCTCATCAGAGACACTGCTGAACGCCATAGAAAGGACAGAGTCGGCTACACCGACAGGGACAAAGTTCCTTTGGAAGTCTGGCAGCCCTGCTCCTTCCTAGGGATAGAGTTTTGCTTAGCTTTGCGGAGTGATCAGCAAGAACACCCTTAAGTTTATGAAAAGAGTCTGTGGAGTTATTTGCAGAGAAAATAGTAAGGGATAAGCTAGGAAGAAAATAAGGGAGAAACTAGAAGATACCAATAAATCAGGAATGTGGACGGCAGCTTTAAAAAGGCAAGGAACAGGCCTGACATGGTGGGTTCACGCCTGTAATCCTAGCACTTTGGGAGGCCGAGGTGGGAAGATTGCTTGAGGCCAGGAGTTCAAGACTAGCCTGGGCAACATAGCAAGACCTTGTCTCTACAAAAGAAAAAAAAATGTTTTAAAAAAATTGTAAAGGGGAAAAAAAAAAAAGCAAGGAACACAGGCTGAGTCCCAGGTACAAGAGAGCGACAGATGGGCTGCGGTCTGCGATATGCCCCAGAGTATAATCTGCCAAAAGTCCGTGGACAATTCCAGCTGAGGAGGAAGCTTCTAGGTCCTCCCAAGCCAGTCCCTTTCCCCCTAATCTGCCCACCCTTGGCATGAATGGCTAAGTAGCTCACAGGGGAGGGATTGACCTGGGCTTCTCGCTTGTTTTAAAATCCTCCTTAAAGCCAAGGGATTCTTTTGTTCAGTCTGCTTCTCTGGAAAGGGAAAATCTCTTCTGGAGGGTGACAGGCTCTGATATCCCCTGTCTAAGAAGCAAAGCCTCTTCCCAGCCCTCACAAGCCCTCTTTGAAATCTTGTCCCGGCTTCTGGAGATGAGCTTTTGTGCTGAGTCAGTTTGGCTGCCTTCCAGCCAAGAACAGAGAAGTGCAGGCTGCAATGCAGGGGCCATTAAACTATTTTTAGGCTCTATTTCAATCTTATTCAGCACAGGCGGTGAGACACAAGGCCTGAAGGTGGACAGACCAGGGGGATGCCGCCTGGGACAAAGTCCCAGGCAAGTAGGTCAGGGAAAAGACAAGGAGATCTCGCTATGTGGAGAGAAATACTTAGCCAGGCGCGGTGGCTCACGCCTGTAATCCTAGCACTTTGGGAGGCCGAAGCGGGCAGATCACGAGGTCAGGAGATCGAGACCATCCTGGTTAACATGGTGAAACCCCATCTCTACTAAAAATATAAAAAATTAGCATGGTGGTGGGCGCCTGTAATCCCAGCTACTCAGAAGGCTGAGGCAGGAGAATTGCGTGAACCCGGGAGGCTGAGGTTGCAGTGAGCCGAGATCATGCCACTGCACTCCAGCCTGGGCAACAGAGCGAGACTCCGTCTCAAAAAAAAAAAAAAAAAAAAAAAAAAAGCACCCAGATGCTCATGCTGCTACCCAAGTGCAGAAGACAGAAGAAAGACAGCTGCCCAGAGAATTTGGCCCTGTAGAGTCATCAAGAAAAATGAAGAAAGGGAAGGGAAGGGAAGAAAGTACAGTGCCTTCCATAAAGAGACCAGGGCAGCCTATACCCAGGGATCCTTGTTAAAAATACACTTCCTGGCTGGGCGTGGTGGCACGCACCTGTAATCCCAGCACTTTGGGAGGCCAAGGTGGGTGGATCACCCGAGGTCAGGAGTTTGAGACCAGCCTGGCCAACATGGTGAAACCCTGTCTCTACTAAAAATACAAAATTAGCCGCACACTTATAATCCCAGCTCTTGGGAGGCTAAGGCAGGAGAATCACTTAAACCGATGAGGTAGAGGTTGCAGTGAGCTGAGATTGCGCCCTTGCACTCTAGCCTGGGCGACAGAGCAAGGCTCAAAAAATAAAAATAAAAAAATACACTTCCTTGGTGCATCTCAGGTCAATTGAGTCAGAATATTTGGAATGGGACTTGGGTGTCTGTGTTTCTAATCAGGTGCCAGGATGGGTGACTCCCACACAGGCTGAAGTTCGAGGACCTCTGAGCTAGAGAGTACCTGCCTTTGGAATTCAAAGGACTGATGTGGACTGAGGGTAGCGGTGGTGATTTAACAGCCACCAAAGGTACCATTCTCTTCTCCTTGCTAGGCTCAGGTTTCTTTTCTTTTTCTGAATGGGGACTCACTATATTACACAGGCTGGTCTTGAACTCCTGGGCTCAAGCAATCCTCCTGCCTCAGCCTTCTGAATGGCTTGGATTATAGGCATGAGCCACCACGCCCAGCAAGGATCAGGTTTTCATCCGTAAAATGAACGGCCCTGCTAGGGGCAGGAATTTATTACTTAGCTCTTACTCTTAAAATCCTTATCCCTGGGATACTCAGTGGTCGGCAGAGAGACCTGGAGGAATAGCTTTTATACTGGAGGTCTGCATTATCCATGGAAAATCAGTAAAAGTCCACTTAGGGGGAATATGCTTATGATGGGAACCAAGCTTAACAGCATGTTGTGGGGGGATAAAGTTTCATCAGGACAATCACAAAAAATAAAATGTGTTTCCTCTTGGAGTTAGCAAACTATATCTGCAACTATGTAATAATTCTCAAATATTTTTACATTTCTACATCTTTTTTTTTTTTTCCAAGACGGAGTCTTGCTCTGTTGTCCAGATGGTGCAGTGGCACCATCTCGGCTCAGTGCAACCTCCGCCTCGGGGATTCAAGCAATTCTCCTGCCTCAGCCTCCCGAGTGGCTGGGATTACAGGCGCGCACCACCATGCCCAGCTAATTTTTGTATTTTTAGTAGAGACGGGGTTTCACCATGTTGGCCAGGCTGGTCTTGAACTCCTGATCTCAGGTGATCCGCCCACCAGCCTCCCAAAGTACTGATATTAAAGGCGTAAGCCACTGTGCCCAGCCCATCTTATTTTTTAAAATGAAGAATGGAGTACTGATGGTGGGGTCAAGATACACTTTTTGACAAAACTGTCCAAGAATAGTCTATGCCATCCTTTACTTTGACTTGCAGGAGTATTACAAAGGATGTAATTTTATGAACATTTTAAAGGTTGTTACCTATCTTCCCAAGACTTCTCTTAATCAAATAATTATATTTTGAGGCACTTTTGTCATTACCTTAAAGACTCTACTCAGGCCGGGTGTGGTGGCTCATGCCTATAATCCTAGCACTTTGGGAGGCCGAGGTGGGAGGATCATTTGAGCCCAGGAGTTTGAGACCAGCCTGGGAAAAATAGTGGGATCCCGCCTCTACAAAAAATTTAAAAATTAGCCAGAAATGGTGGCACACACCTGTGGTCCCAGCTACTTGGGAGGCTGAGGCAGGAGGATCACTTGAACCCAGGAGAGGTTGAGGCGGCAGTGAGCTGTGTTCGTGCCACTGCACTCCAGCCTGGACAACAGAGCAAGACCCTGTCTCAATAAAAAAAAAATATTCTCCTCAAATGTTACCTGGTCTCACTGTCCTGTATCTCTGTATGTGATTGATTCTCCAACACCACTCTCGCCATCTCCATGAAATCCTGTAAGACTTAGAATTACTCTCTGTGAAGTACAGTTGATCTCTGAACAATAGTTTGGACTCTGTGGGTCTATTATATGCAGATTTCTTTTTTTAAAATTTTTTAGAGATAGGGACTCGCATTGTTTCCCAGGCTGGAGTACAGTACAGGCACGATGAATAGCTCACTGCTACCTTGAACTCCTGGACTCCAGTCATCCGCCCACCTCAGCCTTCTGAGTAACTGGGACTATTGGTGCATACCACCACACCTGGCTGATTTTTAAATTTTTTGTAGATACAGGGTCTCTCACTACGTTGCCCAGGCTGGACCTGAACTCCTGGCCTCAAGGGATCCTCCCGCCTTAGCTTTCCAAAGTACTAGGATTACAGTCATGAGTCCCTGCACAGATTTTGTTCAATAAAAATAACAGTGGTGCCTGCCTCCCCCTCCACCTCCCCCACTTTTTCTGCCTCTGCCATCCCTGAGACACCAAGACCAACCCCTCCTCTTCCTTAGACTATTCAACCCTGAGACAGTATGTGAAGACCTTTATGGTGATCCACTTCTACTTAATAGTAGATATATATTTTCTTCCTTATGGCTTTCTTATTTATTTATTTTTGAGACGGAGTCTCACTCTCGCCCAAGCCGGAGCGCAGGAGCGTGATCTTGGCTTACTGCAACCTCTGCCTCATGGGTTCAAGTAATTCTGCCTCAGCCTCCTGAGTAACTGGGACTACAGGCATGCGCCACCACGCTTGGCTAATTTCCATGTTTTTAGTAGAGACAGGGTTTCACCATGTCGGCCAGGCTGGTCTCAAACTCCTGACCTCAAGTGATCCACCCGCCTTGGCCTCCCAAAGTGCTGGGATTACAGACGTGAGCCACTGCACTCAGGCCCCCTTGTGACTTTCCTTATAACATTTTCTTTTCTCTAGTTTACTGTATTGTAAGAATACAGTGTATAAGATACAAAATATATACTGAAAATATGTACTGACTATGTTAGCAGTAAGTAACTACTAATAGCATACTACTGGTCAACAGCAGGCTATTAGTTAAGTTTTTAGGGAGTCAAAAGTTATACACGGATTTTTCAACTGTGCAGGGCAGGGGGTGTTGGTGCCCCTAACCCCTGAGTTGTTCAAGGATCAACTGAGTTTGTCTTCTGTTTGCACTGCACTGTCAGACATTTATAACATCCAACGATCAGAGACAATTTGTCCATCGGCAACCCTGACAGGACTAATGGGAAGAGCGGGTGGGGAGGGAAGAGTTTTGCTTTTTGTGCTCTGCTGCCTTTGGCTTCTCCTACCACCTCTTAACAGCAGGAACTTGGGATAATAAATACAAGATCATGAGGACCTCACCCCGCAAAGCACAAATAGGGTGTGCGTAGACAAGAGGTGAGCATCTCTCTGCAGAATTGGAATCTTTTTCCACTCTGCTTTTATTGGCTGCTGAGAAAAAGTCTCTCTACAAATGCTTTTTCACACTGTGTCACAGCTCCCACCTGCCCTTCCAGACTGCAAAGCCACCTTGCCAGGAACCACAGACAAAGGCCACTGGTCAGGTGACGCTTTTTAATTGGCTGGTGTCTTTGGAGAATATCAAGAGTCACATGTGGGCCAGAGCAGAAAGCAGAAGCCCAGTGCTCAGGGTGAGGCCTTGGGGGAAACAACGGTCTGCGCGGGAGATCAGCGATGGCTGAAGAATCCCTGAGGATGGTTGTATTTAAATGGCTTCATCCTGCTAGGACCCCTAGAGAAATAGGAGAACGGAGTTGTTAATAACACACCTTCTAGGCTGATAAAATAAATTATGGTTCATTCACACAAGGGAAAAAGAAGAGGCAGAGTTACATGACACAGAATGTTGTTGAGAAAAGCATACGGCAGAACAACATATAAGGTGCGATACTATTTTTGTAAAAATGTCTTTTTGTGCTTGCAAATGAGTGAACACAAACTTGGAAAGGCCCTCACTGACAGTGGCACTTCGGGGACATAGCTTTAGGCACCCTCACTTTTTAGGATTGTTCCTTTTTTTATTTTTTGAGACGGAGTCTCTGTGTCGCCCAGGCTGGAGTGCAGTGGCGTGATCTCGGCTCACTGCAACCCCTGCTTCCCGGGTTCAAAGGATTTTTGTACCTCAGCCTCCCAAGTAGCTGGGATTACAGGCATGCACCACCACGCCCGGGTTTAGGTTGAGGTTTAGTTTAGGTTTTGCCATGTTGGCCAGGCTGGTGGAACTCCTGGCCTCAGGTCTCTTGCTGCCCATGCCAGCACTCTGCATCCTGGCCGGAGAGCCTTGCCTCTCACATCTACCGGCCATAGAGTTAACTGGATCTGAGTCACTGAAGGAGCACCTTCCCAGAATGCTGACAGAGGAGCTCAGCCTGGAGACACAACAAAGCCCTTCAAGAATGGGGTCCTTTGGCCGGGAGGTGGAGGTTGCAGTGAGCCGAGATCATGCTACTACACTCCAGCCTGGGCGACAGAGTGAGACTCTGTCTCAAAAAAAAAAAAAAAAAGAAAAAAGAAAAAGAAATGGGTCCTTTGGGAACCACTGGAGAAGAGGAAATCAATGCTGGCCATGTGAGAATTCCCACCCTGGCAATGTGCTAGAATGGGCTGGGCAGGTGAGAAGAGCAGAGGTCTCACACAAGCCCTCTAGGGAGAGAGCAAGTCCTAGAAGGTGCCAGCATCTGGCCACCAGCTCCACCTCCCAGCAGCCACTCAGAGCTGGAACTGGTTATTATGAGATAACATAATGAACCAGGCCAGTGGAGGTGTCAGATGAGGTGAAAGGATGCTGGGACTGCTTCTAGGGGCTAGAACTGGCTGTCTGAGAACAAGGTGAGGGAGAGGTAAGGCACTGTTTAGACTGACAGGGAACAGAGAACAAGGTGAGGGAGAGGTAAGGCACTGCTTAGACTGACAGGGAACAGAGAACAAGGTAAGGGAGAGGTAAGGCACTGCTTAGACTGACAGGGAACAGAGAACAAGGTGAGGGAGAGGTAAGGCACTGCTTAGACTGACAGGGAACAGAGAACAAGGTGAGGGAGAGGTAAGGCACTGCTTAGACTGACAGGGAACAGAGAACAAGGTGAGGGAGAGGTAAGGCACTGCTTAGACTGACAGGGAACAGAGAACAAGGTGAGGGAGAGATAAGGCACTGTGTAGACTGACAGGGAACAAGGGGGGATGTTCTGATTAGAAACAGATTATCACTCTTCTTCCTTCCCAAACACTGCTCCCCGCCAACCTCATGCAGAAGGGAAGGGATGCCTGAGCAGTGAAATCTGCAGTTTTGAAACTGACTCTTAAAAGAACATGAGTTAGAGGCTGAAAGGGAAATAAAGGACCCAAAATGAAAGAGAAAGGAAAAGTAGCTGGAAGTGCCATGAGCCCAGACACTCTTGAGTACCAAGCTGTCAGGAACTGCTGGCATTTTCCGAGTCCCAGTCCTGTGCCAGGACTTTATATGAATTACTTCTGCTTCATCATGAGCTAGAAGGTATTACTTTCACCATTTCTGTCTTTAGAAAATAGGGGTCAGGCACAATGGCTCATGCCTGTAATCCCAGCACTTTGGGAGGCTGAGACAAGCTGATCACTTGAGCCTAGGAGTTTGAGACCAGCCTGGCTAATATGGTGAAACCCCATCTCTACAAAAAAATTTAAAAATTAGTTGCGTGTGGCGGTGCATGTCTGTGGTCCCAGCTACTAGGGAGGCTGAGGCGGAAGGATCGTTTGAGCTCCAGAGGTCAAGACTGCAAGGCTACAGTGGGCTATGATCATGCTGCTGCACTCCAGTCTGGGCAAGAGAGTAAGACCGTGTCTCAAAGAAAAGGAAACAAACAAACAAAAAGCTGGAGGAGGGCTCAGAGCTAAGCAGAACTGACTCTTCTAAGGTCAGCAGCAAAACAGAGATCTGCACTCCTATCTGTTTTACTTTGAAGCTGGTTCCTTCTGTGCCACCTGACTGCCTAAGCTGTGATTCTCACTGACAGGACAGTACCCTAGAAAGACCACAGCAGACTCCCTGGGGACAGGCGAGGATGCACACAGTTTAAAAAGCTTATTTGGACACTAAAAAGCAAACAAACTCTATTGTTTTCCACAGAAAGTATAGAAAATAAAGTTCAGCCAAATCCTCTTGGCTCAGACCTGGCACTAACACCTTCAGGAGGTGTTAGTGAAAAACAGGTGGACCAGAGTGATAGGCATCGGCTGCAGGGGAAGTTTCAGGAAGGAAGAAGCAAGCTCTCCCCAGAAAATCTGGCTCTGATCTCTGTCCCACATCACCATGAGAAGTCACCAGAGCCCCAACCCTCTCCTCACCTGAAGAGCCGCAGACACATCTTCTCCTGGGGAAATTCCTTGGGCCCCTCCACACTGTCGTCATGGCTCTCGGTCTCCAGGTAAACATCCAGCAGCACACACAGCCGCTGCAGCTGGTTGGTCAACAGCTGGTGGCTGGGCCAAGGGCCACACAGCTCCTTGTAGCACACATTGACTTCGCCCTCCATGGCCTGTGTGATAGGAAAGCCAGCATCTCAGCACTACCTTCCTGCATGTGGGGGACCACACTGGCCAGGCTTCCGTCCCTGGATGGGCCCGAGCGCTGATGCCTCTGCAGGGGCTGGGCCAGGGGCTAGGCCATCAGATCAAGCTAGACTGGCTTGTCCTCAGGCCCCCTCATCAAGACAATGAGGTCTTCCTGATTCTGACCCATAGCTTTCCCTGCCTCATATGCCCACAGCCAGGAAAACAGAGGTGTGCAGGGAAGCAGTCTCAAAATAAGACCTAAGTCAGAAGATGTTGGTTAAAAACGTGTTCCATGGCATGTTTGACTTAGTAGCAGCAATGCTGATTAACAACTGCAATGCTGATTAACAGCTGCAATGCTGATTAACAACTGCAGTGATGTCATTCCTCATGTCATTCCAGTGCTTCTATAATGCTTCAGAGCTTATTCACATTTTTTATAGGAGCCCAAGCCAATAACCTTTCAAGGTAGGTATTTCTCCTTACTCTCTAAGTGGGGAAACCTGTGGACCCCAAGGTAGGCAAGTAGGTCTGGGCTCTTTCCTCTAGTACACCACACAAGCTCCAGCAAATTCTGCAAATCCTGGCACAACCTTCTGTTTTGGGAATTAAGGCAGTGCCCAAGTCCTCAGCTGCAGTGGGTTCTGCCACGGCCACCTCCCCCGGGAGCTCTGCCTGCTCCTCCTGTCATCCCCAGCTGGGTCTTACCCGAATGTTGTCATCGTTGCTGTTGGTTTTCTCCCCTTTCCAGTTCAAACAGAGCTGGAAAACAGGTGGGATGGAGGAGTAGCCAGGGTTCAACACCACAGCGGCCTGCAGTTTGGCTGGGAAGAGAGGAGAGAGGGGAAATGCGCAGTTCTAAGACTCAGCTTGCCAGCCATGGCAGCCTCCCCACTGCACCCCTGAGGCTAGCTCAGATGTCTCCTATTAATCTGAATGCTGCAGAGTATATTCTGGTACCAACTGTTCCAGAATGTCCTAAGTGGAATTGCCAGCTTGCAGAATGTGAGGTCCTATAATTGGTCTCTCCAAGGACTTTGACATATTTACTGTGCCACAAAGCTGCGGACTCCCCAGAGTCTGGTCCACCTTGGCTCTCTCCATGAGTTCTATTTGCTACTTTGATAGAAGTGTAATTGTCATTTCTTTATTTGCCAGCAAGCTAAGGTTTTCTCCATGTGAAAGCTTACTAATTTTTCAACAATACTGTGTATCAACTATCACATCAAATATATTTTCTCTATTTTCTTCATTTGATTTTTACATACTTTGTTACATAAAATTCTGTATACTAGCCAACATGTAGAGAGTCCTTACTGTATCCCAGGCACTGTGCTAAACCCTCTAGACACATTTTATTTCATCCTAACAATAATTCTATGAGTTAGGTACTATTATCCTCATCCTCATTTTACACATAAAGAAACAGGCTCTGACAGAAACTTCCCTACCATCAAATAGTTGGAAGGTAGCAGTGCTGAGTTTAACCAGAACTGGCTGATATCAAAGCTGTGTTCATAATCATTAAACAAAATATTTGTGTTTTTGAACATACTCATTTATTCTCTGGTGAAAGCCTTTGCCTTTTTCAACAGGAAGACATTTATCTTCTCAAGTGGGATAGGTATGCCATTCCTTTTTAGTTATTTTTAGGGGGGAGACTTTCACTCTCTGACCACTAGTTATTCAAATAACAGAGGAGAGGAGAGGTTAACACAATTCTTCCCTAACAGTCAGAACATTAATTAAAAAGTTGTGGCTGGCGCGGTGGCTCACGCCTGTAATCCCAGCACTTTGGGAGGCCGAGGTGGGCGGATCACGAGATCAGGAGATCGAGACCATCCTGGCTAACATGGTGAAACCCCGTCTCTACTAAAAATACAAAAAATTAGCTGGGCGTGGTGGTGGGCGACTGTAGTCCCAGCTACCAGCTACTCAGGAGGTTGAGGCAGGAGAATCGCTTGAATCCAGGAGGTGGAGCTTGCAGTGAGCAGAGATCGTGCCACTGCACTCCAGCCTGGGTGACAGAGCAAGACTCCGTCTCAAAAAAAAAAAAAAAAAGTTGCTTTACCTCCCCCTGTCCCCAAAAAAGAGTGTTCTGGACTGGGCATGGGGGGTCACGCCTATAATCCCAGCACTTTGGGAGGCAGAAGTGGGTGGATCACTTGAGGTCAGGACCAGCCCAGCCAACATAGTGAAATCTCATCTCTAGTAAAAATACAAAAATTAGCCAGGCCTAGTGGGACATGCTTGTAATCCCAGCTGCTTAGGAGGCCAAGACGGGAGGGTCACTTGAACCTGGTAAGGTGGAGGTTGCAGTGAGCTGAGATCATGCCACTGTACTCCAGCCTACGCAACAAAGCAAGACTCCGTCTCAAAATAAATAAATAAAAAGTGCTTTCTGGCCAGGCGTCGTGGCTCACGCCTGTAATCCCAGCACAATGGCAGGCTGAGGCAGAAGGATGGTTTGAAGCCAGAAGTTTAAGACCAGCCTGGTCAACATAGCAAGTCCTCATCCCTATAAAGAATTAAATAAATAAAAAATAAAAATAAAATAAAAAGTATTTTCTTTCTCTGCTGCTGTATTGCTTCTGTCCTAATAATCAGCATACATTTCTGGATTTATCTCTGTTCATCAATTTTTTTTTTTTTTTTGAGACAGAGTCTCGCTCTTGTTACCAAGGCTAGAGTGCAATGGCCCAATCTCAGCTCACTGCAACCTCCGCCTCCCAAGTTCAAGCGATTCTCCTGCCTCAGCCTCCCAAGTAGCTGGAATTACAGGCATGCGCCACCGCGCCCAGCTAATTTTTGTATTTTTAGTAGAGACGGGTTTTCACCATCTTGGCCAGGCTGGTCTTGAACTCCTGACCTCGTGATCCACCCGCCTCCACCTAAAAGTGCTGGGATTACAGGCGTGAGCCACCACGCCCAGGCTGTTCACCAATTTTTAAATTCACACTACAGAAAGTTTCCAAATGGATCTGTTGTAGAATGACTGAAGAATTTTTTTTTTTTTTTTTTTGAGATGGAGTCTCGCACTGTCACCCAGGCTGGAGTGCAGTGGCGCCATCTCAGCTCACTGCAAGCTCCGCCTCCCGGGTTCACGCCATTCTCCTGCCTCACCCTCCCGAGTAGCTGGGACTACAGGCGCCCGCCACCAGGCCCGGCTAATTTTTTGTATTTTTAGTAGAGATGGGGTTTCACCATGTTAGCCAGGATGGTCTCCATCTCCTGACCTCGTGATCCGCCCGCCTCGGCTTCCCAAAGTGCTGGGATTACACACCTGAGCCACCGCACCCGGCCATGACTGAAGAATTATATTTGCAATTGTTGCCCACTTATTCGTCTAAATTTTGCTTTTCAATTTCACAATGCACTCAAATGAAAAAATATATATATATATATTTTTTGAGACGGAGTCTTGCTCTGTCACCCAGGCTGGAGTGCAGTGGCTCGATCTTGGCTCACTGCAAGCTCGAACCTTCCGGGTTCGAGCAATTCTCCTGCCTCAGACTCCCAAGTAGCTGAGATTACAGGTGCCCACCACCAACCCCGGCTAACTTTTATATTTTTAGTAGAGACAGGGTTTGCTATGTTGGCCAGGCTGGTCTTGAACTCCTGACCTCAAGTGATCCTCCCACCTCAGCCTCCCAAAGTGCTGGGATTACAGGCATGGGCCACCATGCCCAGCCCATAAAGTACTTTTAAATTAAGGTATATATATTGTTTTTTGTTGTTGTTTTTTTTGAAAGAGAGTCTTGCTCTGTCGCCCAGGCTGGAGTGCAGTGGCATGATCTCGGCTCATTGTAACCTCCACCTCCTGGGTTCAAGCGATTCTCCTGCCTCAGCCTCCTGAGTAGCTGGGACTACAGGTGCATGCCACCATGCCCAGCCAATTTTTGTATTTTTAGTAGAGACAGGGTTTCACTATGTTGGCCAGGCTGGTCTCGAACTCCTGACCTCAGGTGATCTGCCCACCTCAGCCTCCCAGAATGCTGGGATTATAGGCATGAGCCACTGCGCCCGGCTGTATATTGTTTTTTAAAAACATGATGCTATTGTACACTTAGACTATAGTGCAAACATAACTTTTATACGTACTGGGAAACCAAAAAATTTGTGTCACCTACTTTATTGCAAAGTTTGCTTTATTGTGGTAGTCTGCAACTGAACCTGCAATATCTCTGAGGTATGCCTGTACTTTATGTTGTTTAGGGATGAGATAAAAGGAAGACCGGGTGTGGTGGTTCATGCCTGCAATCCCAGCACTTTGGGAGGCCGAGTTGGGAGGATCACTTAAACCTAGGAGTTCGAGACTGGCCTGGGCAACAAAGCAAGACCTTATCTCTACAAAAAAAAAAAAAAAAAATTAGCCAAGCATGGTGGTGCACATTTGTAGCCCCAGCTACTCAAGAGGCTGAGGTAGGGAAATGACTTGAGCCCAGGCAGTTGAGGCTGCAGTGAGCCATGACTGAGCCACTGTACTCCAGTCTAGGCAACAGAGCAAGACCCTGTCTCAAAAAATAAGTTAAATTAAATTTTGAAAGGGGAGAGGCCAGGCATGATGGCTGATGCCTACAATCCCAGCACTTTGGAAGAAAGGCCAGGAGTTTGAGACCAGGCTTGGCAACATAGTAAGAACATGCCTCTACAAAAAAACAAAAACAAAAACAAAAAATCTTAGCTGAGCATGGTAGCATACCTGTAGTCGCAGCTACTCAGGGAGCTAAGGTGGAAGAAGGATTGCTTGAGTCCAGGAGTTCAAGATTGCAGTGAGCTATGATCGTGCCACTGCACTCCAGCCTGGGCGACAAAGCAAGACCTTATCTCTACTGAAAAAAAAAAAAAAAAGGGTGTAGCGGGGAAAGGATGGAAAGCAAATGCATAAAATCCAAATAGTGGTCACTTATTAGGAGAAAGGGAATAAAGTGGGATAGGGAGGCCTCAACTGTATCTGAAATATTCAGTTTCTTCAGAATTTTTTTTTTAAAAGACATGAAGAATAGAAAGAGAAGAAAGTGGGGTAGTGAGGACAGAAACTCTGATACCAAAGAGTTCAGCCTTTCCTTACAGTTCTGGAACTGTCTTAGAACTACAGACAACTTCCTCAGCTCAGCACCAAGTCTTGAGGGTGTCAGATCCCACGGGCAGTGCCAGGCTTGCTGCGGCTTGGGTGGGACAACAGCACAACGGCCCAAACACAACATCCCAGGACTTCAGCAGGGAGCCCTGGCAGAGTCAGATGCCAGAAGAGGTATGAAGAATCAGAGCTTTCAATGCCTCTAAAGTGAGTGCAGGGACTGCAGAAGAGGGAGCGAGGCCCTGTGGCCCTGCCCTTTACAACCTGAGGGTGACACCTCAGCCCTGTTATGAAGAGGGAGAAGGAGGAGATGTCCGGTACTAGAAAGCGGTGAAGGAAGGAGCAAAGAGCTCAGGCTCAGCGCTCAGACTGGGCTTGCAACTAAGCCTGAATTTCCTCCCATGTAAAATAGAAATGAAAGCACCACCCCTAGGACTGCAGTGAGGGTTCAGTGATACACAGCGTGTGTGTGACTGTGTTGCAGAATGAGTCCTTGCTGAACAGGCTCTCACGATCATTATTATCTGTTAAGTCCTTGCAGGACTCCAGGATCTTCTGCTTTGGGCAGCCCCGGAGAGTGTTTGATTCTTGGCAGCGCCCTTTGTCTAGAACCCCTGTAATCAGCAGAGCAATTACCTGTGCCCCTTTCGATGAGCGCCATGTAGTAGAGATTGGTGTCCCCAGCCAGTCCCGCATCCACAATGTCTTTGGTGAAGTGCAGCTCCTAGAAGAGGTACCACAGACAAGAGGTGAACTGCTGGCTCCTCTGGTTAAACCCCCTGCTCTTCCAGTGAGGTGGCAGGAGCTGAAAGGTGACATGGTCCTGCAATCCTCAGGACAGTAAGGGTAACTTGTCACTCCTTCACCTACCATGTAATCCTCATGGGCAACTGTCACCCATTTCACCAGGCGAGAGACAACCTTGGCAGGGAAGAGGTACTGGCAATCACTGGTAACTGGCACAATGCCATGTTCTAAAAGAGAACAAGACAGATGACGTCACAGGTAGAAATCAGGTGCCACAGATGGGTAACTAGCATCCTCCTGGGGCTCTCTGAAGGGCTCAGATGGCCCGGCCAGCTATCCTGGTATACCTGGTACTCAGGAAGTACCCAGGTCAACACGTGCCAGGAATGCAAGCATGTCAACCTGACCTTCACCCAGTGCTATGTGCTTGTGGCCAGATCCAGTGCCAGCACTTATGGTGCTTTCTCTTTAATGCAAATGATAGCCTGCCAAAGAAAAACCCTTACAGTCAGAACTAGGGAGGGTGCCCCTGCAGCAGTGACTGTTAATTAGATCAAATAGCATAGAGGCCTGTGTTTTCATAGCTGACCTTGATGGAGGAAACAACTGAAGTGTTGTGTGTCAGGGAGAAGAGCCAGATAACTGCTCCAGGGTAAATTCCTGCTGGCATTTAAATAAGCAAATATGCCAACACAGTAAGTACTGTCCAGAATGACAAGTTCCCTACCTTGGGACAAAACAAACTCAGCAGTGCTGATGGGGAGCACGGCCCGATGGACAAACATCAGTGCTCTGGAGAGATCGGCAGCCATGTGGAGTCTAAGAACTGGTGGGGAGTGGTCTCCAGATGTGTCCTGGAAACCCAATGCCTTTCCTGACAGAGACTCTTTTTTATTTTTTACTTTTTATTTTGAGATGGAGTCTCGCTTTGTTGCCCAGGCTGGAATACAGTGATGCGATCTCAGCTCACTGCAACTTCCGCCTCTCAGGTTCAAGCAATTCTCCTGCTTCAGCCTCCTGAGTAGCTGGGAATACAAGTGCACACCACCATGCCCAGCTAATTTTTGTATTTTTAGTAGAGACGGAGTTTCACCATGTTGGCAGGCTGGTCTTGAACTCCTGACCTCAAGTGATCTGTCTGCCTTGGCCTCCCAAAGTGCTGTGATTACAGGCAAGAGCCACTGCGCCTGTCCCAGAGACTCTTTTAGGTCAGAAAAATCTTGACCCCATCCCCCTGCCACATGGTAAGCATTTGACAACCACTTACTGAGTGAATAAACTAAAAGAAGCCCCCAAATGCCACCACCTAAGTCAGTGGCTCATCATTATCACTTGGGAGCTTAGAAGAAAACATAGGCTCAGCCTCACCCTGGGGAACACGAGGTCAGTAGGCCTTGGGGAAGGGATATGCGAGTTGCTCCCTGGATAGCTATATTCAAAAAGCTGACTGTGAGCCACAGAGCCAGGGGCAGGGGTTCACTGTGCTCAGTTCTTCCCCCAGCACTATGCTCAGTGCCTGGCATGAATCAGGATCTCACTAAATATGTGTCGAATGCACATCAAAATCTGCAATGCATGACCTAGGATGAACTGCCCCGACCAGTCCACAAACTTGTGCCACCCAATGGCTCTGGGCCTCCTCTGTGAGGCAGGACAGCACTGATGGCTCTAAGGGGGAGCTCGGTCCTCTGCCTGGACAGGCCTGGAGCTCTCCCCAGTGGCTCTGCCAAGATGCCCACTCCGTAAAGCCAGGAATCCAGGTCTTGTATTTGTCATCAGGATTCAAGTTTTGAGTGAAAGGCTAAGTTGTTGTTGTCCGTGTGTTGTCTGAGTGACTCTTAAACCACTGCCCCATCATCAGCTTACCTAGGGATGCAAACTGTTTGTGGAGGGCCAGGCGGGACTGCACCCTGGTCTTCAGAAGTTTCATGGTGGTCTCCATGTGGCTGGCGCTCAGCGAGTGGTCAGCAATCACTGTTTGCTGTGAGTGACAATGAGACACATACACGTGTGCTCCCCCATCCCTTCCTCCGGGCACCATCTCTCTCCTGGGACCTGCCTGTCTGCGGCACCCTGGATTATCCATGCCCCAAGATGGGTACCCTTTAGACATGGCAAGGTTTATCTGCTATGACAGGCCAGACGCTGAGTCCTGGCAGAAACAACACAATATGCTGCGTTCTTGAGAAGCTGTGTCCAACTCCTGAGGAAAGGCAGGCTTCTGCTAAGGGGCCAGGCCCCCTGGATTTCTGCTCATGCCTCATATTTGGTACTTGCACACAAGAACAAGGGCAGCAGAGCCTGCAGACATGAGTCCCAGAGCAAGGACTCAAGTTGCCTGGGTCTAAAAGGCTACTAGGCTCAGAGAAAATGCAAAAGGTACGTAAACTCTTGTAAGTCTAAGACATTTTAGTGTCCTGAGTGGATAGAAGACAGGTCACAGCCCTGAGGGGACACATTCTGCCAGTTCAAAACTCCAAAGGCCATGACAGGCCTTTTTTTTTTTTTTTGAGACGGAGTTTTGCTCTTGTTGCCCAGGCTGGAGTGCAGTGGCATGATCTCAGCTCACCGCAACCTCTGCCTCCCTGGTTCAAGTGATTCTCCTGCCTCAGCCTCCTGAATAGCTGGGATTATAGGAACGTGCCACCACACCCAGCTAATTTTTTGTATTTTTAGTAGAGATGGGGTTTCATCATGTTGGCCAGGCTGGTCTCAAACTCCTGACCTCAGGTGATCCACCTGCCTCAGCCTCCCAAAGTACAAGGATTATAGGCATGAGCCACCGCACCTGGCCTGGCCTTTCTAGAGTCTATACAGGAAGAGAAGAGGTAAGCTCCTCAGCCAACTAGATGAGATCAGTGTACAGACCTGGGGCTGCTCTTTGGGGAAGTGGAGGCCACCCAGCTTCTGCACCCACAAATAGGGGTGACCTAGCTCAAGTACATAGTCGCTCAAAGTCAGGATGCTGCAGAAAAGAAGATAAATAAAATTGTGCTGTAAGTCATTTCTGCTGTGGTCCCAGGATACAGCCTCCTCCCACCCTCCCATGCCCCACAAACCATCCAGTCCTGCAGGTTTGGCCATGTTCACAGCCAGGCTGCTGGCAAAGCCCTTCAACTTTGTCAGTTCCCTACTGTGAATTTCATCTCTCTCACATTCACTTTCCTCTTTTTCCTTTTCTTCTTGCAGCCTTCAACTTATAAGCAAATATCAAATACAAAGGCAGTGTACTAATGTCTTTATTGGTCTACCAATTTAGAAAATCTTTTAAAAATTAATCCTCGGATAATTAAAATGTCAAACATTTTTATTGTATCACGTATTATTATGCTTCCAGAGGGTTTTTTTTGTTTTTCTTTTTGTTTTTGTTTTGAGACAGGGTCTGGCTCTGTTGCCCCCAGGCTGGAGTACAGCGACATGACCATGGCTCACTGCAGCCTCAACCTCCTGGGCTCATGCAATTCTCCCACCTCAACCTCCCCAGTAGCTGGGACTACAAATGCCCACCACCATGCCTGGCTAATTTTTGTATTTCTTGTAGAGACAGGGTTTTGCCATGTTGCCCAGGCTGGTATCGAACTCCTGAGCTCAAGGAATCCACCTGCTTTGGCCTTCCAAAGTGCTGGGATTACAGGCGTGAGCCACCACACCCAGCATGTTTCCGAGTTTTGATCCTTCCACCCTTTTTGTGATCTCCCTTTGCCTTGTAAGCAAGAAAGAACAAACATTTCCTTCTACCCTGTGGTCTTTCCTATCCTCTGGGTCACCTCTGGCCCTAACAGGTCTCCAGCATTTAGCTTGAGCCACCAGAGAAACTCAGAAGTAGAGAGCTCGGAGAGGAGGAAACTGCTGACTCACCCAACTTTATCAAACTGATACTGATTGGCTGGATTCGGAGTTTTCTTTCCATGATCCCCAGGATACAAGCAACTCAGGACTGAGTCAGGAGACAGCAAGTCACTAGAAAAGGAAAAACAGTAAGCAGTGAGAATGCAGCCAACATCTTTCTTCAACATAGGCTTGGGCATTTGGGGATGGTAATGCCACGTCTCACTGATGACCAATGCCACCATTTATTGAAGGCTTTCTGTGGGCCAGACCGTTTATATGCTTGAGGTCATTGCATCCTTACAACCCTATGAGGGAGGATTATCATTTCCATTTTATAGAGGAAAAACTCAAGGCTTTAAAAGATATGGCTTATTCAAGATCACACTGCTAGTAAGTGCTAGAGGTGGCTTTATATTGTCTGATCAAACAGACTAGTACTCTTAATCATTAATTTTTAAAAAACTCATCCCTTCAAGATTTATATGGTGCCTAAGGCCTTACCTCAGGGGAGCAAAGTCCCATGACACCATCAGTAGAAATAATTTCAATTTTCATAAAAGCAGAACAGACTCCTTTCTGCTACAGAGAGAACAAGTGTATAGCTTTGGTGCTATGTCTATCTCACTTTGACCAAATCTTATGCTCATCACAGGAAAAGGCCCCCTGTATGTTCCCAGAAAAAGATACAATCACATACACTGGAGACCCACAGCTACAAGCGGAGAGAAATAGTGACGCCACTGCCACCCACCTGGGATGGTTCGGGCACAGTTTGTCATTAAATGTGACAAGCAAAAAAGAGATAATGTGGGAGGGTAATGTAGTAATTTTATCACAAAGGATGACAAGGCCCATTCTTTCCCTGAACCAAAGGGGGTTCTCCTTCATCTTTCCATGGATAACGTCAGGAGCAACTTGGGCAGCACGTGCCGGTCCTGCGTTTTGGCCCCAGCATGCCTTCAGGAACTCCATGCTAGGACAGTGGAGGCTTCCAGCTCTTCCCTACTGTGTCTCACTGAGTATCCCTGTTCCCCAAGGTCTTTGCCCCCTTCACCACCTCAAATGGAGAACTGACTACCAAACAAATAAAACATTTCAGGCCAGGCACAGTGGCTCACGCCTGTAATCCCAGCACTTTGAGAGGCCGAGACGGGCGGATCATGAGGTCAGGAGATCGAGACCATCCTGGCTAACACGGTGAAACCCCGTCTCTGCTAAAAATACAAAAAAAAAAAAAAAATTAGCTGGGCATGGTGGCGGGCGCCTATAGTCCCAGCTACTTGGGAGGCTGAGGCAGGAGAATGGTGTGAACCCGGGAGACGGAGCTGGCAATAAGCCAAGATTGCACCACTGCACTCTAGCCTGGGTGACAGAGCGAGACTCTGTCTCAAAAAAATAAATAAAATAAAATAAAATAAAATAAAATAAAACTTTTCAGTCTTTTAGCAAGTGTTTAGGGACTATTACTAATAGATTGATTCAATCTATTAGTAAATAAATAAAACAGAACTAAAACTGCCCACGATGAAGGTTATTAATTGACAAAACCTGATGAAGGAATCACCTTCTTGGCAAAATTTATATCTGCAACATATGGCTAAGACAACTGAACTTGGTAAAAATGATGAACATAAAAGGAAAGGCTATTTATAGTCATAAAAATATAACACCAAAACAAAAAAACTTCTCAACCAGTCAAATCTTTGTTATAAAATTTTGATAAAAAGTAAGGGATTAAAAAAACCTTAGTGGCCGGGCGTGGTGGCTCACGCCTGTAATCCCAGCACTTTGGGAGGCCGAGGCGGGCAGATCATGAGGTCAAGAGATCGAGACCATCCTGGCCGAAATGGTGAAACCCCGTCTCTACTGAAAATACAAAAATTAGCCCAGCATGGTGGCACGCGCCTGTAGTCCCAGCTACTTGGGAGGCTGAGGCAGGAGAACTGCATGAACCCAGGAGGCGGAGGTTGCAGTGAGCTGAGATCGTACCACTGCACTCCAGCCTGGGCGACAGAGCGAGACTCTGTCTCAAGAAAAAAAGAAAACAAAAAACCAAACCATTAACTCTTAAGACTGGCCTGGCCAACATGGCAAAACCCCATCTCCACTAAAAATACAAAAATCAGCCAGGCGTGGTGGCGCATGCCTGTAATCCCAGCTACTCGAGAGGCTGAGGCAGGAGAATCACTTGAACCAGGGAGGTGGAGGTTGCAGTGAGTCAAGATCTCACCACTGCACTCCGGCCTGGGCGACACACAGAGACTCCTTCTCAAAATAAATAAATAAATAAATAAATAATAAAATAAAAACATTAACTCTGTCAGGGAGGATTTTTAAAAATTCTCTAATGAATTAATGGATCTAGGCAACAGTTGTCAAGACAGTAACATCACAAAAATAAAGAGAGCCTGTGCCTCTTGATGGAAGTATTCAACAACAGCCATGATACAGTCCTGCCCTCTACCCACCCCACCACCACAAAAAAATTTCGAAAACCTAATCTGATCAAGTCTCTAAGCCAACTCCCTGTTCACAAGAACACACAGGTAGAAAGACGAACACGTTTAACGATACCACAGGGACGCAGTCCTCAAAATCCAGACTAGGTAGAACCTACAGAGCAAACGACCCATTTTCTCCAACAAATACAAAGACGGTGGAAAGCCCAAGACAATGAATCTTAGGAGAAAACAAAAGAGATGGCAGGACCCTCTGATAAGATACTTGAAAGAAGCTTTGCTCATTGGCAATGTATGGGCCTTATAGTGATCCAGACTCAAAACACAAAACTATTAAAAAAAATTGTTTGTCTGAAAACTCCCTCCCCCAAAAAATATATGAAAAAAATCAGGGAAATTAGAATGATAGTATGAGATTCAAGAATTAGTGTGAGAATATACCCTTTATGTTTTAATAGATAAATCAATAAAACTGTATGCCAGGTTGCTGTCTTCATGTGGCCAAAGGCAGCCTGTATTTGAGCAAAGGCTTCTGGGCTGGGAGCCCAGAGTCTCGGGCTTTAGGTCCAGTGCTGCGATAATTGGTTGTATGCTCCCTGGACCTCAGTTTCTCTATTTGTAAAAGGAGGATGAGCTAGACAACACCTGAAGGCCTAAAAGACCTAATCCCAGTTTCACAGTGGCATCTCCTTTTATGTCTCCTCCCTGTTTGGGGGTCAGGGCCCACCTGGCTATGACAGCAGTGGTATACAGGTCTTGCTGACTTCGAATCATAATTCTCCACTCTCTACCTGTGACCTTGAGGCTACCCCTTAACTGTCCAGAGCCTCAGTTAACTCACCTCATAGAGCTATTGTGAAAGTTACAAGAGTCAATGATTATAAATCAGCTGTCCTTTACCAAGTGCTTCCTCTATGCTAAGCACTTGACCTGACTCTTCACAAGCACCCTGGGAGGGGATATTACAATTAACAACCACACAGCGAGGAAACAGATTCTGAGGCCAGGTATACAGCTTAGTGAAGAGCTGGAGTTGAGCATGCAATAAAGCCAGGCTGCAGCCCTGTTATTAGCATGTAGGGCACCTGAGAAATGAACAAGCAGAATGTTCATGATGAGCTCTACCACGATCTGGGGGCCCTGGAACTCCTCAATGAACTGAGAGCCCTGGACAGTGTAACTGGGTGCTCAGAAGCAAGCCCTGGGCTCCCTCTGCTGGGGTCAGATGGGAACAGGGGCAATTTCATCCAGAGCACCCCTGGGGGTGTCCAACAACACTCTCAGGCACAGCAGCCAAAGCTGCTATGGCCTGAAGGGGATGTGGACTCTAAGGGCAGTCTAAAACCCAAGAGACACCAGCATCATGGAGAACTGGCAGGGGTGGAAAGAGCCCTGCTCTACCAGGCACCAGAGCTGTACCTCCCTAAGCCTCAGTGGTCTTTCTGCAGCTGACAGTGGGACTAGGTCAGGGCAGTGCTCTTGTGAATGGAAGCTATTTCACCCTCAGCCCCGCATGACCCTTCTTCCCGCCCATGTTTGCAGAAGAAGAATGCCATGATTGGGCCAGGTATGGTGACTCATGCCTGGAATTCCAGCACTGTGAGAGGCAGAGACGGGAGGAGTGCTTGAGGCCAGGAGTTCAAGACCACCCTGGGCAACACAGCAAGACCCCGTTTCTATAAAATAAAAATAGAAAGTCAGCCAGGCATGGTGGCATGCACCTGTAGTCCTAGTTACTCAGGAGGCTGAGGTAGGAGGATCACTACAGCCCAGAAGTTTGAGGCCACAGTGAGCTATGATTATGCCATGGTCCTCCAGTCTGGGCAACATAGTGAGACTGTGTATCAACAAAAATAGAAATTAAAAAAAGAACACTGTAGTCAGGGCCTTCCTGGGGATGCGATGATGGCTGTCATTACTGTGCCTCTGCTCACTCTTCTCAAAACTTTCACAGGGACCCACCACAGTCCTCCCACCACCCAGATAAGGACATGGGCTTGGGCTGAGCTGGGGAGCAAAAATCCCAGCACCTTGGGATAGAAAGAGAAAAGGGAAAGAGTGGCCTGAATTTGGCAACCTAATAATGTCTGCCAAATCTCATTTTATATTCACACACTTTCCACTGGTAGCAAAAAGCTGGTGCTCTGCCCCACCTACTCAATTTGCAAATATGCTGTTGTCACTTTTATCATCTGCTGTGTAGTAAGAGGACTTCACAAATTAAAGTCAGAGAGTGCTTTCTAAATACCAGCGATGTGCCAGGACTTCTGGTCCATCTGGATACAAGACAAGTCAACACAGCCGTAGCCCTCTCCAGAGCCAGAGGGAGGAACCGAGAGCAGCCCCACAATGAGGCTCTCATCACCTCCCCATCCCGCACGTCATTGCCCAGAGCGCCTGCTCAATACCCTGCACTGATGGGGGTGATCAGCTCCATGGCAGTTGTCACTTTGGCTTTTACTGTCATGATGTTGAGGTTCATGAGGTAGTAGAAAGTCAGGTGAAGCACACTGTCATCTGGAGGGGAGGAAGATGAGAGAATTTATGAGTCAAAACACTCAGAGCAGAGTGAACAGAGTCATAGGGGGTAGTAAGGTGGGGGGGTCAAGTGTTGAAAAACTAACTACTAGGTATTATGCCCACTACCTAGGTGACGGGATCATTCATACCCCAAACCTCAGGACCACGCAAAATAGTGTAACAAATCGGCACATGTATCCCCAGAATCGAAAATAAAAGTTGAAATTATAACAAAAAAAGAAAAACAGAATTATAGAAAAATTCAGAGACTTTTACAATCATTTACTATAAAAACAAAATCGGCCAGGCGCGGTGGCTCACACCTGTAATCCCAGCACTCTGGGAGGCCAAGGTGGGCAGATCATGAAGTCAGGAGATCGAGACCATCCTGGCTAACACAGTGAAACCCCGTCTCTACTAAAAATACAAAAAATCAGTCGGGCGTGGTGGCGGGCACCTGTAGTCCCAGCTACTTGGGAGGCTGAGGCAGGAGAATGGTGTGAACCCAGGAGGTGGAGCTTGCAGTGAGCAGAGATCACGCCACTGCACTCCAGCCTGGGCAACAGAGCGAGACTCTGTCTCAAGAAAAAAAAAAATCACAACAGTAATATAATGAACAAAAAGAAGCAAGGAGAGCATCTACAAATTCTTTGCTACGCTTCCCACCAAGAGGTAGGGCTTAATTTCTCTGCCCTTGAGAGTGGGCTGGACTTAGTGACTCTGCTTCTAACAAATACAAGATGGAAAGGGAACCAAGCGATCAAGGTCAATATCAGCAGAAATAATACAGTGGCATCAGGTACTCCTGATATGACATGATAGCGACGACCTCATCTATGCTATTCTCTCCCCCAAATCCATAATCTCAGTCTAATCAAGGTCATGAAACACAAGGAAAGACTGAGACACTCACTGCCTAGAGCAGACTAAGGAGCATGGCAACTAAATGCACTTTGAGACCCTGGCTTGGATCTTGGGACAGAAAAAGGACATTAATTAAAAAAGGAAGAAACTAAAAAAATTCTGTCATTTTGTTAACAGTATTGGGCCAATGAAATTAAGAGTGGTGTGGATCGCTGTTAATCATACCATCTTTAATTAAGATGTAACTTTAGGGAAGCTGAATGAAGAGTATATAGGAACTCATGTTATTTTGGCAAGTCTTCTATGAGCCTAAAATTATCTCAAAGCCAGCCATGGTGGTGCACGCTTCCAGTCCTAGCTACTTAGGAGGCTGAGGCAGGAGGATCGTTTGAGCCCAGGGGTTCAAGACCAGCCTGGGCAACATGACAAAACCCCATCTCTACAAAAAATACAAAAATTAACTGGCATGATGGCACATGCCTGTAGCCCCCGCTACTTGGGAGGCTGATGTGGGAAGATCGATTGAGCCCAGGAGGTTGAAGTTGCAGTGAGCCGTGATCATGCCACTGTACTCCAGCCTGGATGACGAGAGTGAGACCCTATCTCTAAAAACAAACAAACAAACAAACAACCAGCAAAAAGAAAACCAGTGCGTAGAGCCTATTTCCATTTGTGTAAAAAATAAAGTGGGAAGCAGATAAATATACATTTGTATAAAAGCTTCCAGGTGCAAAGAATCTTTCTAAAAAATACATAAGAAGTCTGTAATAATGGTTGCCCTTGGAGGTGAGACCTAGGACTGGTATATAGGAACCTGTGGTGAGAGGGAAACTTAAATTTTACTGTTAGCTCTTCTACTGCTAGAACATTTTATTATATGGTACTTTTTCATACAAACCAACTTCAAAACATATACTCTGCAGAATACAAAGTTCTACTTACATTTATTAAACATGTTGGTCTTACTAAAAACCTGTATACTTTTGCAACTTGTTCTAGATATTTGACTTGCTAGATTCAGAAAGAGGTATAGTTTTCTCAAGCTTCTGCCTTATGTGACTGGAGTTTTGTTGCTATGTTGTTACGGTTATGATTTAACAAAAAGAAACAAAGTCCATGCAAAACAATAAGGAAAAACAAAGCAATATGAAATGGGAATCCTTTGTTGGGCAAATGGGTGTTTGGCTCCCGGACCCTCTGCACCTGCAGCTGGGTGAACTCTTAGGTGCTACAGATCCCTTAAACAAGGTGAGTGCAACCAGACCTTTGCACTTCAGGTCGAGCATGACAGACAGTGGGTGCCTCTTCAGCATCTCCTTGCGTTTGTCGTCCAACTGAACCCCCAGTGTGGGTCTCCGGCGCTTCTGGACAAAGGAAAGTGCCAAGCTGATGAGCATCAGTCATAGCAATCTCCCCTTCCCTCTCCCAACCAGCCAGGCCTCAGCCCTACTGCCTGGCACCTGCTGCTTCAGCTAGCTGGGTTGTCAGACTCCCCTCCCAGCAGCACCTTCTTTCACACCTCTTCTGCTTCTAGGGAGGACGGCACCTGCGAACAAGCATGCCCCAGTGCATGCAGCTGCTTGATGCCCCCACAAGAGGAAATGGTTCTCACCGTAGTCTGCTCCTCCTCGGCATCTGAGTCACTCTCGTCATCTGCAGCCACAGAGAGAAGGCAGCTAGAGGTGAGGGGGCTCCAAATGCTCCCTAAAGCACTCCAACCCACATGGCATAAAGGGGCCCTGACTCTGTCTTTTGTAAATAAGTTTCTCTGTAATAAATAATAAATTAACTTGCTGCTTCTTATTCAGTATACAAAACATGGTGATGAAAAAAGAAAAAAGAAGAATGACGTATAACTCATTTTTTTCAAAGGGCTTTTTGATGTCATTTAGATGGAACACAAGCCCCTCCTTGTGATGGTGGTGGTGGCTGTGGTAATAATAGTAACACAAATAATAATAATAGTAGTAGAAGCATGCATAACTTGAGGGGGTACTATGTGCTGAGAATTATGCTAAAGGCTGTATGTGCATTACCTTATTTAATCCACATAACAATCCTACATGAGGTGTTACTATCTGTTTTCACAAAGGAATAAACTGAGGCTCTGAAATATTAAATACCTTCCTCGGGGTCAGTCAGCTAGTGAGTGGCAGGGCTGAAATCCACGGGCCGCACCTTGTGACTCCGGGAAGTGAGCTCTCTTTCCTGTCTACTCCAGGGTGCTAAGACATTCAAGTCAAGCTTCCTGCTACACAGAACTAGTCCAGCTAGTTCTCCAAAGACCAGGACTGCCCTTGGATGGTGACCTGGTGTCCCTGGGGGACGAATCCCAACCACCACATTACCTTGGGAGTCCTCTGGAGGTTTGAACAGAGCCTTGGCTTCATCCACACTGCCTTCGATTGCCACAGATAACGTCTTATCTGGGGGGCAAGAAGAAGTCTGTTAGGAAAGCTGCTGAGGAAAGCTGCTAAGCAGTGTGAGTAGGCCAGCTCTGGGGCTGCATTTCTCCCACCTCTGCCCAGCTCCTTGCTGACTAAGGGTGGAAGGGCAAAAGTCCTTGCTCCAGATGAAGGGAAACAAGGTGGGACACTTAAGCTTTTTTTTCCGTCATTTACTGAGAACAGAGAACTTAAGTACAAATTCCTAAACCAGCATCACCTGAAACTAGCAGTGAATGCCTCTCTTTTTTGGTGCACACCAAAGCACAGAAATTCAAACTGAGGGCCTAAAGCCACATGGAACTCCTCTGCCAGTTGTCTTAGAGGTTCTCACCCAGAAATCCACACCTGTCCACATCCCAGAAACAATGACTCTCACCTAAGTGCTTATTCTCTATTCTACACTATACCAAGCACATGGCTGCCATTGTCTCACTTAACTGGGAGGCAGTAGGACAGTGAATAGGAACTTGGATCTTGCAGTCCAGTTCCAGACCTGAGTCCCTGCCTAACCAATTCTCAAACACATGACCTGGAAAGTTATGTCACTGTCTGAGCCTCAGTTTCTGTATCTATGAAAAGGGGACTTGAAAAATAGTAGCTGCCGGGTGCAGTGGCTCACACCTGTAATCTCAGCACTTTGGGAGGCCGAGGCAGGTGGATCACCTGAGGTCAGGAGTTCAGAGACCAGCCTGGCCAACATGGCAAAATCCCGTCTGTACTAAAAATACAAAAATTAGCTGTGTGTGGTGGCATGTGCCTGTAACCCCATCTACTTGGGAGGCTGAGACAGGAGAATTGCTTGAATCCAGGAGGTGGAGGTTACTGTGAACCAAGATCATGCTACTGCACTGCAGCCTGGGCAACAGAGTGAGACTCTGTCTCAAAAAAAAAAGAAAAAAGAAAAACAGTAGCTGCCCCATTAGTGGTGGGGACTGAATGAGCTGATGCTTGTAATTTTAATTATAAAATTATTAAAAATTAATTTTTAGGCTGGGTGTGGTGGCTCATGTCTGGTTGGGAGGCCAAGGTGAGTGGATCACCTGAGATCAGGAGTTCGAGACCAGCCTGGCCAACATGGTGAAACTCTGTCTCTACTAAATATATAAAAATTAGCCAGGCACGGTGGTGGGTGCCTGTAATCCCAGCTACTTGGGAGGCTGAGGCAGGGAGAATTGCTTGAACCTGGGAAGCAGAGGTTGCAGTGAGCCAAGATCATGCCACTGCACTCCAGCCTGGGCAACAGAGCCAGACTCCATCTCAAAAAAAAAAATTTTTTTTAATACTCACAACAACCCTACAGGAGTAATACATTATAGCCATTTATAGATGAGAAACTTAAGGCTCAGAGAAGCTAGACATCACAGCTATAAGGCTGATAAACCAGGATTCAAGACCAGGTCTGTTCAACTTAAGCTTGGCCTCTCCAGCACATGAGCTAACAGCCTGTTGCATACACCAGGTATGACACCTCATTGAGTGATGTCTTGAGACCCCCTCTGAGGGTCTAGCGTTGTGAGGTCAGACAGGCCACCACCGTCCAACTCCATTCTTAAGGGTACATATGGTCCCAAGAGCCTGAAACGGTTTGCCTAGCCACACTAAGGAGGGATGGCAAACTTCCCCCAAGTGGCTGACCACTGCCTTATCTATGGCAACCCTATGTGAATCACCACCCTTCACCCCAAGCAACTAGTTGCTCCCATCAAGCACTGGCAAACAACAGACTATTTTTTTCAGCCATTTAATATTAGCATTCTACAAGAACATCAGAATGGAACAGGCCGATTTTAAACATAAAAGAAAAGAAAATTACTCACCCTGTCTAGGGGGCTGGGAGGATTTCATATGAGCTGATGATGGAAACAGGAGGGAGAACAAAGGGGAGGGGAGGACCAGAAGGACGAGGAAGACACAAGAAGAGACAGTAATGTGTTGGTGCCCAAGGTGGGAGGAGAAGCAAGCACTGGTGCGGTGTATGTCTGTCTGATGAGGTGGGGTGGGGTGGGGGAGAAAATGTAGGTGCTGGGTGAAAGCTGCATTAGGGCAAAAGGCAGAGTCTCCAAAATTTTCTCAAAACCCTAGCAGAGTCACAGGCTGCCCTCAAGCTTAATGAGGACATATCATCTAACCTGGAAATTCACAACAAAGACATGCAGCCTGATTCAAGGCATGGTGAAAGCCTGGGAGAGCTGGCTGAGACCTGTATTCACCAGGCACCCCCACCCTGAAGCAGAGCAAGAGGCACTGATCTAACTGCCAAGCGTGCCTTGATGGGGTGAGCACCTGGGAGCCCAGACAGGCTGCCTGGGTTCTGCACCCAAGAGCTGTCCAGCCAGGCTCACGAATGACTCAAAGCCACCCATTGTGAAATACCCATCAGGTTAATCCAGCCTTAGGCCAGCTGGTCAGAGCAGCCATGCTGGGCAATGCAGAGGGAAGAAAGCTTCTGTCACCTGAGGGCTTCGGGCAGGACTGAGAAATTTCCTGAGCAGGTACTGCTTCCAACTGATTCACTCGGCCACAGCTGCTGCTCCCATAGCCCCTTGTCCTCACCCAGGCCCCATACTCACCACAGGCCTGCCCATACGCAGTGGCCTGAACAAAGAGGACATAGAGGGGAGGCGGCAGGTGTCTGGCTGTCTCATACTGCTTGTGAGCCTGGTCGAATGGCATAAACAGGTACTCCTGCACCGGAAGGGAAGCCTGCACACAAGAGACAGATTTTTGTTCTTCCTTTTTTAGCCAGTCCACACAGGAAAAAGTGGCTACTTAGTGACCGTAAATCATTATTTATAAAAGTGATACATGATAAACTAATAGAACTAATAGGTGGATAAAAGCTCAACGTAAACAAAATTATATTTCTTTATACTAGCAACAAACAGTAAGGAAATAAAATTGTTTTATTTTACCTACTGTCAGGGCACCCTGGCTCATGCCCATAGTCCCAGCACTTTGGGAGGCTGAGGCAGGAGGATCACTTGAGGCCAGGAGTTCAAGAGCAGCCTGGGTAACTTAGCGAGATGCCATTTCCACAAAAAATAAAAATCAATTTAAAAAAAGAAATTATAAAAAGATGCCATTTCAATACCATCAATAAAACATCAAATAAGAATAAACAGGCCGGGCATAGTGGCTCACGCCTGTAATCTCAGCACTTTGGGAGGCTGAGGCAGATGGATCACCTGAGGTCGGGAGATCAAGACCAGCCTGACGGACACAGAGAACCCCGTCTCTACTAAAAAAAATACAAAATTAGCTGGGCGTGGTGGCATATGCCTGTAATCCCAGCTACTCGGGAGGCTGAGGCAGGAGCATCACTTGAATCCAGGAAGTGGAGGTTGCGGTGAGCCGAGATCATGCCATTGCACTCCAGCCTGGGCAACAAGAGCAAAACTCTGTCTCAAAAAACAAACAAAAAATAATAAACAAGCAGGCTGGGTGCAGTGGCTCATGCCTGTAATCCCAGCACTTTGGGAGGCCGAGGCAGGTGGATCACCTGAGGTCAGGAGTTTGAGACCAGCCTGGCCAACATGGTGAAACCCAATCTCTGCTATAAATACAAAAATTGGCCAAGTGTGGGGGCACGCACCTGTAATCCCAGCTACTCCAGAGGCTGAGGCAGAAGAATTACTTGAACCTGGGAGACGGAGGTTGCAGTGAGCCAAGATTGTACCACTGCACTCCAGCCTGGGCAAGAGAGCAAGACCCTGCCTCAAAATAAAACAAAATAAAATAAACAAATGAAAGGCATATAAGCCTCTACACAAAAACCTGAGAAATGAAAAGTCTAAAATAAGTGGATACATGTGAATGTCAATGGCCTGGAAGACTCAAATATTGTCCAGGTAACAATTTATTCTAAAGTGGTCTGCAGATTCAATGCAATCCCTGTCAAAATCCCAGCAGGTGAAAACAGACAACCTGATTCTGAAACTTGTATGTAAATGCAAAGGGCCAAGAATAACCAAGACAATCCTGAAGAAATAGGTTGGAACTGTGCATCGAGACTTCTGATAAAGCCACAGTAAATAAGACAGTGTGATACTGTGCAAGGATGGACACAGAGATTATACACATATCCACATGTACAAAGACATTTGATTTGTAACAAAAGTGGCACTACAGAGCAGTGGAAAGAGAATGTCTTCAATAAATGGTCAGCTAAATACCTATGTGGAAAGAAAAAATGAATCTTTACCCTTAACTAACAAAATCACTTCCAGGATGACAACAGATTTAAATAGAAAGATTTCTTAAACAAGACACAAAAAAAGTACTAACCATAAAGGAAAAGAATAATTAGTAAAATTAGGAACATGCACTCATTAAAAGATACCATTAGCAAAGTGAAAAGGCAGGAGGTTACAGAATGGGGAAGACCTGGGAAAAAACTCATCTCCAGGCAACCCAACAGAAAACAGGCAAAAGACTTGCCTAGACCCATCACAAGAGGTTATCCAAAAGGCAAAATGTGCTGTGTTCAACATCACTAGTCCTCAGGGAAATAAAAATTAAAACTATAATGAGATACCCTCCAGAGTAGCCAAAATTAAGGAGACTGACAGTATAAAGTGTTGACAAGGATGTAAAACAATTAGAACTTGCATATGGTGCTGGTGGGAATTTCTGTAAATCGGTACAACCAGTTTAGAAAACTGTTTCAGTGTCTACAAAAGCTAAATATATGTATAACATACTGTATGACCTAGAATTTCATTCCTGGGTATATATTCAACAGACAGATGTACACATGTATGCCAAAACACATGTATAAGAATGCTCATAGCAGCATTATTGAAATGGCCCTAAACCGGAAACAACCAATTACTAAACATCAATGAAAACAAACTCTTGTACTCACAATAGCACAGATGAATCTTAGAAACATACTGCTGAACAAAAGAAGCCAGACATAGGAGTATATACTATGATTCTCTTTGTATAGAGTTCAAAAATAGGCAAAACTAACCTATGATGTTAAGATGTCAAGATTATGGTTACTGGGGTGTGAGGGAAGATAGGGACTGCGAGGGGGAATAAAGGAGCTTCCAGGAAATTGTTAATGTTCTTTCTCTGGGATTTTGGGTGCTGGTTATACAGATGTGTTTGCTTAGTGAATATTCATTGAGCCATACACTTGCGAGTTACATGCTTTTCTGTATAAAAAACTCTGTTTTAAAGTAATATATGGTACACTGTTTTTAAAAGTTGTATTCAAGACCTTAGGCAATGAATTCAGGTTTTGTTTCAGAGATTTTATTTGTGTGCTTTTCTTCTGTTTTTTTTTTTCTTTTTTTTCTTGACTCGGGAAAGACTGAACTAGATCGCCTTGAGTTTCAAGTTTGCAGATTCTGCACAGTGCATGAGGACCAATTGTACAATATATAAAGTAAAATAAAAAGCATTTTAGGCTGGGTGTGGTGGCTCACGCCTGTAATCCCAGCACTTTGGGAGGCCGAGGCGGGCAGATCACAAGGTCAGGAGATCGAGACCATCCTGGCTAACATGGTGAAACCCCGTCTCTACTAAAAATACAAAACAAAAAATTAGCTGGGCATGGTGGCAGGCGCTTGTAGTTCTAGCTACTCAGGAGGCTGAGGCAGGAGAATGGCGTGAACCCAGGAGGCAGAGCTTGCAGTGAGCCAAGATTGCGCCACTGCACTCCAGCCTGGGTGATAGAGCGAGACTCTGTCTCAAAAAAAAAAAAAAAAAAAAGCATTTTAGGCCGGGTGTGGGGGCTCATGCCTATAATCCCAGTACTTTGCCGAGGCAGGCAGATCACCTGAGGTTAGGAGTTCAAGACTAGCCTGGCCAACATGATGAAACCCCATCTCTACTAAAAATACAAAAATTAGCCAGGTGTGGTGGTGGGTGCCTGTAAACCCAGCTACTCAGGAGGCAGAGCAGGAGAATCACTTGAACCTGGGAGGCAGAGGTTGCAGTGAGCCGAGATGGCGCCACTCCACTCCAGCCTGTGCGACAGAGCAACTCTGTCTCCAAAAAAAAAAAAAAAAAAAGCATTTTAAAGTCATGGGGGGCGGTGGCAAAGGTGGGTAAGGAAAAGGAAAAAAAAAAAAAGTGGTATTCAAGTTTGTAAAACAAAAGCTCCCAGTTCCCAGTCCTCAAAGTAGCTGCTAATGGTCTGCTATGAATATAGACTTTTCCAAGCATATACCGCATATACCCAACTCCTACTTGTATATATCCCTACAGATACTTTGTAAACCAAGGTATAGAAATGAGTCCATACTATATGTTCTACAACTTGCATTTCTTATTTAATATGACAGATCTTCTTTCATATTTCAGTTATTCTGTCAGTGGTTCAAATATCAGTGGTTTGATTCCATACTTTCATCACAGCTCTAAGGCTGTACCATACAAGAATTTATTTAACCTGTACCCTATTTAAGGACATTTAGAAAATTTCCAGGTAACAAGAGAAAATTTAACCATGCAGAGGCTTTGGTTAAGTACAACCAAAACTTTTAATTTCTGCTCTATCACCCAGGCTGGAGCGATCCTCCTGCCTCAGCCTTCCAAGTAGCTGGGACGACAGGCACAGGCCACCATGCCCAGTTAATTTTTTTTTGTAGAGGCGGGGTCTCCCGATATTGCCCAGGCTGGTCTCAAACTCCTGGGCTCAAGTGATCCTCCCCCCTCAGCCACCCGAAGTGCTAGGATTACAGGCATGAGGCACCACAAGCAGTCAACAACTCTCCTTCTACGCTTACAGTTGAAGAAAGGAAATATAGATCTTGCCAAATCCTAAGAAGAAAAGCAAATTTATCTCTAGGATCCTTTTACAAAGTTCTTTCATATTAGCCATCTTGCTTCATAAAATTATAAGGATTTAGACCAAATCTGGCTTCGCAAAGCAAATAAAAAGTGGATCACCTATACAGAAAGACATTATGTTTTACAGGCGAAGTGTTGACTCTTCCTCATGAGTAAAGTTTTTTTCAGAGTGAGAAGATCTGCTGAGCAGTCTGACCCTGAAGCATGGTCGGGGGATCAAACAGACATCCACAGGAAGCAAGTTTAGATGCCTGGAGATTGTGAGGCCGGTGGGGGCCATGCAGGGGGTAAACTAAATTTACACAGTCTGAGAAAGTACGTTACCCAGAGAAGGCCTCTGGATGAAAACACCCAGGTCAATGTGTGTATATATTCCTGAGGCCAGCACTTCTTCCTCCCAGACACAAGCTTATCACACCAACTGGGTAGGGATGCAGACAAGGCCATCCTTATACTATACTCTAATTTAGGGTAATAGACCTGGCAAAGCCCAAAGGGTGACATGACTTCTGGCAGCGCCTGGTCAGTGGTGAAGGCAAAGCAAAAGGCCAGAGGGCCCCACCTGCATGATGCTGTTGAGGCGGGGCTGGAGGCTGCTCAGGTACTCCTTCTTCACCTCAATCTCCTTGAGAATCTTCTCCTTGTTAGATAGGCACTCTCGGTACTTCTCTGCCAGCCTGTTGGGGGAGGAAAGAGCATTGTCACCTGATATCCCCCAGTGATACCTCAACATGCCTGTTCACTGTCAGACTCCACCTAATAGTAGCAGCCATGATTAACTGCCAATGTTTATCCAGCACTCAATGTGTGCCAGGTACTTTGGTGAGCTCTTTAAAAGCATAATTACATTTAATACTTATAAAGACCCTGGAAGACAGGGACTTTGCTTATCCCCAAAGGAGGAAACCAAGGCTCAGGCAAGTAGATAACTTGCCCAAGGGCATCCAGCTAAGAACAAACACTGCGCTAGGCTTTGGATCCATGTCTCTTGCTCTCCAGAGGCTCTGTCTGCTCTGTAACCACTAGGGAATACACATGCCATCTTCTGCTCCATTTCTTGCTTGAGAGGTAAGACCTAAAACTTTCACAAACATGGACTTAGCAGCTATATAACCCAAAAGAGGCCCATGGACTGGCCTGGTTAGCACAGGGTGGGAACAGATTCTGGACCAGTGCCACAAGAATGCAGCACTGATGGCTGAGTCAGTGCCCAGCACAATCAGTGGACTGGACAGCGGAGTGACAGGTCAGCCCCATCTGCTAAGACACTGACACAAATTTCCTAAGAACCAGACTCGGCCGGGAATGGTGGCTCATGCCTGTAATTCCAGCACTTTGGGAGGCCCAGGCAGGCGGATCACCTGAGGTCAAGAGTTCGAGACCAGCCTGGCCAACATGGTGAAACCCGTCTCTACTAAAATACAAAAATTAGCTGGGCACAGTGACATGCGCCTGTAATCCCAGCTACTCAGGAGGCTGAGACAGGAGAATCGCTTAAACTGGGGAGGCGGAGGTGAAACCCCCAACTCTATTAAAAATACAAAAATTGGCCGGGCACAGTGGCTCACGCCTGTAATCCCAACACTTTGGGAAGCCGAGGCAGGTGAATCACGAGGTCAAGAGGTAGAGACCATCCTGGCCAACATGGTGAAACCCCGCTTCTACTAAAAATACAAAAATTAGCTGGGCGTGGTGGCACACGCCTTGTAGTCCCAGCTTCTCAGGAGGCTGAGGCAGGAGAATTGGTTGAACCAGGGAGGTGGAGGTTGCAGCAAGCCGAGATCACACCATTGCATTCCAGCCTGGGCGACAAGAGTGAAACTCTGTGTCAAAAAAATAAATAAATAAATAGATAAATAAATAAATAAACCTCTTTATTCATATAGAAAAGTTTATACCTAAAGTGTGACTTGAAGCATTATTTATTTATTTATTTTTTGAGACGGAGTCTCATTCTGTCGCCCAGGCTAGAGTGCAGTGGCGCAATCTCGGCTCACTGCAACCTCTGCCTCCCGGCTTCACGCCATTCTCCTGCCTCAGCCTCCTGAGTAGCTGGGACTACAGGCACCCGCCACCATGCCCGGCTAATTTTTTATATTTTTAGTAGAGACGGGGTTTCACCATGTTAGCCAGGATGGTCTCGATCTCCTGACCTTGTGATCCGCCTGCCTTGGCCTCCCAAAGTGCTGGGATTACAGACGTGAGCCACCTCGCCTGGCTGAAGCATTATTTATGACAGCAAAAAATGGAAACAACCTAAAATCCAACAGGGGAATAATTTTGTGCATTTTTCTATACACCAGAATATACACTAGAATGTTGCACAACCTCCTGAAATAGTGTTTACAAAGCTTTCTGCCATAGGCATACACTTACAGATAAGGGGAAAGGCAAATACAAAATTAGATTTATGGTACAAAAGATAAGGTCTTCGGCATTAAAATTTCAAGGAGAGACCAGGCATGGTAACTCACACCTGTAATCCCAGCACTTTGGGAGGCCAAGGTGGGAGGATCACTTGAAGCCAGGAATTCAAGACCAGCCTGGGTAACAGAGTGAGAACCCTGCTCTACAAAAATAAAAATATTAGCCAGGCATGGTGGCAGGCACCCATAGTCCTGGCTACTTGGGAGGCTGAGGCAGAAGGATCGCTTGAGCCCAGGAGGTCAAGGCTGAAGTGAGTCGTGATAGTGCCACAGCACTCCATCCTGAGCAATAGAGTGAAACGCCATCTCTTTGGAAAAAAAAAAAAAAAAAAAAAAAAAAGGGCCAGGCACAGTGGCTCACGTCTGTAATCCCAGCACTTTGGGAAGCCAAGGCAGGCAGATCACTTGAGGTCAGGAGTTTGAGATCAGCCTAGCCAACATGGTGAAACCCCATCTCTACAAAAAATACAAATAATAGATGGGCGTGGTGGTGCACACCTACCACCCAGCTACTCGGGAGGCTGAGGACTGAGAATCACTTGAACCTGGGAGGCAGAGGTTGCAGTGAACTGAGATCACACCACCGCACTCCAGCCTGGGAGACAGAGTGAGACTCCATCTCAAAAAAAAAAAAAAAAAAAAAACCCTTAAGCAATTATAACCCCAACCCCATCCATGATGAGGTTGGTGAAGTTTAAACTATCCAGTGTGATTTAATCATAAAATGGGATTTGGTCTTAGAAACTATTCTGAGAGTTGCACAGTGTTTTGCTGCCTTATCCTGGGTCATGACAAAGCACTGACACTTTGTGGTTAAAAGGTCAGGAAGGAGGAAATGCTACCTTTTCCGCTGCTCCAGCTCCCAGTCCAGACGTGCCAGTGTTTGCTGGTGAGGGTCTCCCATGGTGACTTCGGCCTTGCTGATATCTGGTGGAGCCTCCTTATAAAACTCCTCTAAACTGACCAGATCAATTTCTTCATGCTTTGACCTACAGACAAAAACATGACATCAAGCTGCTGTTCTCAGGAAACTAAACTGTAGTTTAAGCAGGCCCAAAGTTATCCCCAACATATGCCTGCTTAGTCCTGGTCTACAGGATCCTGGAATCCAGTCTTCTCCACAAATGCTCATTAGCAGATATTTCAGTGTGAAGAAAGGTAGTTGGTGACATGCCATAGGATCCTTATCCATGCTGTCCAACCTTTTTACCCATGAATTAAAGACTCGGAAGGGATTCTTATCAAATTTACAAATGTCTCCAAGCTGAGCAGGAGAACTACTAGCTAAAAAGTCAAGTAAAAACACTACAGCCTGGGCCTAGGCTGTAGGGTTGAAAGCAAGACATAATTTAACAGGAATAAATACAAGGGTCTGCACTTAAGTTCAAGACATTAGCCGCGTAAGAACAGAATGAGGAAGATCCAGCATGGGAGAACTGGATGGAAAAAGATCTAGAGGCTTAAACCGTTGCATGCATAGTGATTTATATGTATAAAAGAAAAGAAATTCTGCCAGGCGCGGTGGCTCACCCCTGTAATCCCAGCACCTTGGGAGGCCAAGGCAGGTGGATTACCTGAGGTCAGGAGTTCGAGACCAGCCTGATCAACAAGGTGAAACCCCGTCTCTACTAAAAATTAGCTGGGCGTGGTGACGCATGCCTGTAATCCCAGCTACTTAGGAGGCTGAGGCAGGAGAATCGCTCGAACCCAGGAGGCAGAGGTTGCGGTGAGCCAGGATTGCGCCATTGCACTCCAGCCTGGGAGACAGAGCGAGACTCCATCTCAAAAAAATCCAACCCTCTTTGCTGTATTAACATAGTTGACTGCTCAGGTTATGGTCAGATGACAGTAATGATAACGGCAGCTATCATATATTAATAAGCACCCACTATATGTCATCCTCACCTCATTTAAGCCTCACAACAACTCTAAGAGGTGGGGAGTTTTAATCTCCATTTTTTGACTGAGATGGAGGCTTCTATCAGTAAGCAGCTTGCCCAAGGTCCACAGCTAGGGAGTGGCCAAGCTGGGATTTGAACCCAGGCTGTGTAACTTCAAGGCCTATGCTCCTTCCATGTGGCCGTCTGCCTCCCAACAGGCGCAAGTTCCACTGTATTCTGGGTTTGTCAGTTTCCATTTGGGTGATGATTACAGACCAGTGCATCACATTATTTTGTTTTTGATACCTTTTTAATTTGGAAATAGTTTAAGACTCCAAGAAGTTTCAAAAATAATACTTAGAATGTATTTCCTCCATGTACCCTTCACCCAATGATACTATCTTATCTAACCACATTATACATTGTCAAAACCAGGAACTGACACTGGTACAATATTATTAACTCAAGTACAGACCTGATGCAGATTTCACCTCTATTCATATTTAACTATTGTTATGTGACGATTTTGTGGAACAGATAAAGATGCCTCTCAAAAATCAGCATCAGGGCTGGGCACAGTGGCTCATGCCTGTAATTCTAGCACTTTGGGAGGTCGAAATGGGTGCATCATCTGAAGTCAGGAGTTTGAGACCAGCCTGGCCAACATGGTGAAACCCTGTCTTTACTAAAAATACGAAAATTAGCTGGGTGTGGTGGCTCATGCATGCAATCGCTTGAACCCAGGAGGCAGAGGTTGCAATGAGCCAAGATCACGCCACCACACTCCAGCCTGGGCAACAGAGCGAGACTTTATCTTTAAAAAAAAAAGAAAAGAAAAGAAAAGAAAAAAATCAGCATCAGGCCAGGCTTGGTGGCTTACACCTTTAATCTTACCCTTTTGGGAGGCCAAGGCAGGTGGATCATTTGCAACCAGGAGTTTGAGACTAGCCCAGCATGGCAAAACCCTATCACTACTAAAAATACAAAAAATTAGCCAGGCATGGTGGTGCATGCCAATAGTCCCAGCTACTCAGGAGGCTGAAATGGGAGGATCATCTGAGCCAAGTCAAGTCAAGGCTGCAGTGAGCCAGGATTGTGCCACCACACCAGCCTGGGTGACAGGAGTGAGACCCTGTCTCAAAAAAAAAAAAAAAAAAAGACAAAAAACAAAACAATCAATCAGTATCATGATTATTAAAAATATTCCGGACCCACCGGGTGTGGTGGCTCACGCCTGTAATCCCAGCACTTTGGGAGGCTGAGGCAGGCGGATCATAAGATCAGGAGATCGAGACCATCCTGGCTAACACGGTGAAACCCTGTCTCTACTAAAAACACGAAATATTAGCCGGGCGTGGTGGCAAGCGCCTGTAGTCCCAGCTACTCGGGAGGCTGAGGCAGGAGAATGGCGTGAACCCGGGAGGCGGAGCTTGCAGTGAGCCGAGATCACGCCACTGCACTCCAGCCTGGGCGACAGAGCAAGACTCCATCTCCAAAAAAAAAAAAAAAAAAAAAAAAAAAAAAAAATATATATATATATATATATATATATATATCCTGGACCCAATGTCTAATAGGGCCCCTGCATATGTCAAGTTTGTTACAGATAAAAGCTGCTTTCAGTTTGCATAAACAGGTCTGATCAAGTGAGAACACTTCCCCTTCTCTTCCCGTTTACTCCTTCCTCCTTCTCATCTCTCAGCTTGGTTTTGAGGAAGGACACTGACAAACTGTAGTTTCTTCACCTGAAGGCAGCTAAGCAGCAAGAAATTCAGGTTCCAAAGAATAAAATCCATTTGCAGAAATGAACTGCTGGGACTACAGAAAGGAAAACTGGGCCAAAAGGTTAAAAGAATGTGACTGGAAGTGAGTTGCTCCCATACAACATGCCCAGAAATCAAACTGGTAATGTAAAGACCCCTGATAGGGAGAGAGACCTGCTTTTTACCAAGTGCAGAGCTCAAAACTCAAAAAGGTCAGAGAGACTTCTGAGGTTCTTTATGCAGCCTGAAATCACGGCTTGCAATTCTCCCACATTCACCCTTGCAATTTGCCCTTCTCCCAGATCCTACAGTTTTCTAAGCTCATCAGATTTCTTTTTAAAGAGAGACTTAGGCTGGGAGCGGTGGCTCACGCCTGTAATCCCAGCACTTTGGGAGGCCGAGGCGGGAGGACCACCTGAGGTCAGGAGTTCGAGAACAGCCTGGCCAACATGGCAAAACCCCGTCTCTACTAAAAATACAAAAATTAGCTGGATGTGGAGGTGGGCGCCTGCAATCCCAGCTACTCAGAAGGCTGAGGCAGGAGAATTGCTTGAACCCGGGAGGTGGAGGTTGCAGTGAGCTGAGATTGCGCCACTGCACTCCAGCCTGGGTGACAGGGCAAGACTCCGTCTCAAAAAAAAAAAAGAAACAGACTTACAGTGAGCTACATGGGAAAAAGCAGTTACCGAAAGACCACATGTGCCAAAGCCCTGTCCTCCCAAACTCACTTAAACTCCAAACATTTGGTGATCTCCTTCTGTAGGTGCATCACCTCATACAACAGGTTCTGGAGCTGCAGATGATAGGCATCTACTTTCTGCTTAGCCTGAAAGGAAAATACGATCAGAAGTGAGCAGGGCAAGTCAGGATGGAGCAGAGGAGAGGGTCAGCAAACTAAGAGAAGGTGTAAAGGGAATAAAGAAGGGGATGGGGCTGGGTGCAGTGGCTCACGCCTGTAATCCCAGCACTTTGGGAGGCCGAGGCGAGTGGATCACCTGAGCTCAGGAGTTCAAGACAAGCCTGGCCAACAAGGTGAAACCCCATCTCTACTAAAAAATACAAAAATTAGCCAGGCATGGTGGTGGGAGGTGCCTGTAATCCCAGCTACTTAGGAGGCTGAGGCAGGAGAATCGCTTGAAGCTGGGAGGCAGAGGATGTGGTGAGCTGAGATCGTGCCACTGCACTCTAGCCTGGGGGACAGAACGAGACTCTGTCTCAAAAAAAAAAAAAAAAAAAAAAAAAGAAGGGGATGGGGAGGAGGAAGGAGGAAGGTTAAAATTAAACCTTTTAACTACTACCTCGTGGGTCTGATCTCTTCCTTTCTTCAACCTGATGTGGGCTAATCGGTTAAGCTTCTTTAGAGTCATGAAATGCACACAGCTCTGGATCCTCCGTTCTTCTATTTCTATTGCCTGTGGGCAAAGAAAACAGTAAAGCCCACTGACGACAGGGCTAGCTCAGCTTCCTTCAGTCCTTCACCACTGACCCATCCTCATCTGGGGCCAAAAACGGCACCGGAGGGAGCTCAGAACCATGAGAAGGGTCATGAAGAAAATAAGAGGATGATTGTATAAGGAAAATGATTAAGAATCTCGGGCAAAAAAAAGTAATTTCTGCTTGGACTAGAGTAACAGGAATTGAAGATGGAATAAGGGCAGCAAAGGCACAATCTATCTCTACAGATCCTACACAGAGATCCCAGCAATAGTAACATCTTGTCATAAAATTTGACCTCTATAAATAACATTACAGGATAACTTAAATGGAAAATAACAGAATTATAGCCATAAAGCTTGGCTAGAATAGATTGAATGCAATAATTCTAACAAAACTTGTCAGCATAAGCACAAATACGTGAGATTCCTGGGGGAAAAAATGGATTTTAAAAAACTTATCTATCGAGTTTTTAGTCACATTGTTTAATTTCTCTGCCCCTAAAACCTCATTTATTCATTTACTATTAATGATAATTTCATTTTTGGTATCTACAATTTACTTGTACACATCCATCTTTGTATCAAGCAAATGTATAAGTACCATCATTTCTCAACACCTAGCAAAATGCCTGGCACTTAATAAATATTAATTGGATGAATGATCAAATTAGTAGGGAAAAAATTAATTATCCTGTACTTTCATTCCTGTAATTGGTGACTGAATGGTGATAAGAAGTTCCAATAAATTCACAGGTTTTGGGAGCCCTCAGGCTCCAATCACCTGATCATGGCTAGGACAGAAGATCAAGATCAGGAAGGGCCCTGGTAGGTGCAAAAACAGCCTCATCTATGTAAACCCACCAGGTTCACGGCCACCTGGTCCCACTCCTTACCACATCCTTGCCACCCCTGCTCTTCAGGTCTTGGATCTCAGCCATCAGCCTCTGTAGCTCCTGGCAGGTGTACTTGTATAACTCATAGTCTCTGCCAGGGTCCCGCAGATCCACCTCGGCCTCCTCACTGTAGTATTTACCTTCCTGTAGAGGTAAGGATAAAGGCTCTGTGTGCATGGGGTAAAAGTCTCCCTGCTGGGATCAGGGACACTTGGCTGACATCTCCTTTTAGATAAAAACAGTAACAATGAAGCCTCAGTCAGGTCTCTAAAAGATCTGGTCCTTAAATTAAATGCTTTTCTTCTCTTCAAAATAGAAACCTCTTTTGCTTTCTGATTGCAGAGTAATGCATGCCTGGTATCAAAGATTCAGAATATACAGAGGAGTATCAAAAAGAAAATGGAAAAATTGCCTATAATTTCGCCTCTCAGTCCGAAACTGAGTGAAGATTGTGGATAAATAAACATTTTATTTGTAAACAAAACGGGATCATACTGTCCGTGCTGTTAAGTGCAACTTCCCATCTGCATTAGTCCATTTTCACGCTGCCAATAAAGACACACCTGAAACTGGGAACAAAAAGAGGTTTAATTGGACTTACAGTCCCACATAGCTGGGGAGGCCTCAGAATCATGGCGAGAGGTGAAAGGCACTTCTTATGTGGCGGCGGCAAGAGAAAAATGAGGAGGAAGCAAAAGCAGAAACCCCTTATAAACCCATCAGATGTCGTGAGACTTATTCACTATCATGAGAATAGCACGGGAAAGACTGGCCCCCATGATGCAATTACCTCCCTCTGGGTCCCTCCCACAACATGTGGCAATTCTGGGAAATACAATTCAAGTTGAGATTTAAATCCCAAACCATATCATTCCGCCCCTGGCCCCTCCGAATCTCATGTCCTCACATTTCAAAACCAATCATGCCTTCCCAACAGTCGCCCAAAGTCTTAACTCATTTCAGCATTAACCCAAAAGTCCATAGTCCAAAATCTCATCTGAGACAAGGCAAGCCCCTTCCGCCTATGAGCCTGTAAAATCAAAAGCAAGCTAGTTACTTCGTAGATACAGTGGGGGTAAATATAGCCATTCCAAATGGGAGAAATTGGCCAAAACAAAGGCGTTACAGGGCCCATGCAAGACCAAAATCCAGTAGGGCAGTGAAATTTTAAAGCTCCAAAATTATCTCCTTTGACTCCAGGTCTCACATCCAGGTCAAGCTGATGCAAAAGGTGGCTTCCCATGGTCTTGGGCAGCTCCACCCCTGTGGCTTTGCAGGGTACAGTCTCCCTCCCTCCTGGCTGCTTTCATGGGCTGGCATTGAGTGTCTGCAGCTTTTTCAGGTGCATGGTGCAAGCCGTTCGTGGATCTACCATTCTAGGGTCTGAAGGGACGGTGGCCCTCTTCTCACAGCTCTACTAGGCAGTGCCTCAGTAGGGACTGTGTGGGGGCTCTGACCCCACATTTCCCTTCCACACTGCCCTAGCAGGGGTTCTCCATGAGCGCGCCAGCAGCAAACTTTTGCCTGGGCATCCAGGTGTTTCCGTACATCTTCTGAAATCCAGGCGGAGGTTCCCAAACCTCAATTCTTGACTTCTGTGCACCCACAGGCTTAACACCACTTGGAAGCTGCCAAAGCTTGGGGCTTCCACCCTCTGAGCCACAGGCCAAGCTCTAGATTGGCCCCTTTCAGCCATGCCTGGACTGGCTGGGACACAGGGCACCAAGTCCCTAGGCTGCATATAGCACAGGGACCCTGGGCCTGGCCCAGAAAACCACTTTTTCCTCCTGGGCCTCTGGGCCTGTGAGGGAAGGGGCTGCCGTGAGGTCTCTGACATGGCCTGGAGACGCTTTCCCCATGGTGTTAATCCCCCACGGGGATTAACATTAGGCTCCTTGCTACTTATGCAAATTTCTGCAACCAACTTGAATTTCTCCGCAAAAAATGGGTTTTTCTTTCCTTTTTTTATTTTTTATTTTTATTTTTTGAGACAGAGTCTCGGTCTTGTCGCCCAGGCTGGAGTGCAGTGGCATGATCTCAGTTCACTGCAACCTCTGCCTCCCAGGTTCAGGCAATTCTCCTGCCTCAGGCTTGGAGATTACAGTGGGTAGCTGGGATTACAGGCACCTGCCACCAGGCCCGGCTAATTTCTGTATTTTTAGTAGAGATGGGGTTTCACCATGTTGCCCAGGCTGGTCTCGAACTTCTGACCTCAAGTGATCCACCCAGCTCGGCCTCCCAAAGTGCTGGGATTACAAGCGTGAGCCACCGTGCCCAGCCGGGTTTTTCTTTTCTACTGTGTCATCAGGCTACAAATTTTCCAAACTTTTATGCTCTGTTTTCCTTTTAAAATGGAATGCTTTTAACAGTACCCAAGTCACTTCTTTTTTTTTTTTTTGAGACAAGGTCTTGCTCTTGTTGCTCAGGCTGGAGTGCAATGGCGCAATCTCAGCTCACTGCAACTTCTGCCTCCCGGGTTCAAGCGATTCTCCTGCCTCAGCCTCCCAAGTAGCTGGGATTACAGGGGCCCACCACCATGTCTGGCTAATTTTTATTGTATTTTTAGTAGAGATAGGGTTTTGCCATGTTGGCCAGGCTGGTCTCAAACTCCTGACCTCAAGTGGTTCACCTGCCTCGGCCTCCCAAAGTGCTAGGATTATAGGCGTGAGCCACTGCACATGGCCCTGTCACCTTTTGAATGGTTTGCTACTTAGAAATTTCCTCCACCAGATACCCTAAATCCTCTCTCTCAAGTTCAAAGTTCCACAAATCTCTAAGGCAGGGGCAAATGTTTTCAGTCTCTTTGCTAAAACACAAGAGTCACCTTTGCTGCAGTTTCCAATAAGTTCCTCATCTCCATCTGAGACCACCTCAGGCTGGACCTTATTGTTCATATCATTATCAACTTTTTTTTTTTTCTTTGAGATGGAGTCTCACTCTGTCACCCAGGCTGGAGTGCAGTGGCATGATCTTGGCTCACTGCAACCTCTGCCTCCTGGGTTCAAGCAATTCTCTGCCTCAGCCTCCCGAGTAGCTGGGATTACAGGCTACCGCCACCACGCCTGGCTAATTTGTTCGTATGTTTAGTAGAGACAGGGTTTCACCATCTTAGCCAGGCTGGTCTTTAACTCCTGACCTCGTGATCCACCTGCCTCAGACTCCCAAAGTGCTGGGATTACAGGCGTGAGCCACCATGTCCGGCCCATTATCAGCATTTTTGTCAAAGCCATTCAACAAGTCTCTAGGAGGTTCCAAACTTTCCCACATTTTCCTGTCTTCTTCCAAGCCCTCCAAACTGTTCCAACCTCTGCCTGTTACCCAGTGCCAAAGTCGCTTCCACATTTTCAGGTATCTTTTCAGCAAACCCCCACTCTACTGGTATGAATTTACTGGATTAGTTTATTTTCACGCTGCTGATAAAGACATACCTGAAATTGGGAACAAAAAGAGGTTTAATTGGACTTAACAGTTCCACATGGCTGGTGAGGCCTCAGGAACATGGCAGGAGGTGAAAGGCACTTTTTACATGGCGGCAGCAAAAGAAAAATGAGGAGGAAGCAAAAGCAGAAACCCCTGATGAGCGCATCAGATCTCATGAGGCTTATTCACTATAATAAGAACAGCATGGGAAAGACCGGCCCCCATGATTCAATTACCTCCTCGTAGGTCCCTCCCACAACACATGGCAATTCTGGGAGATACAATTCAAGTTGAGATTTGGGTGGGGACACGGCCAAACCATATGACCATCCCAGTAAATACAGATCTCAATCAAAATGGCTGCATGACAGTCTCCTATAGAGAGGAATTCCAGCTGGGTGCGGGGTGGCTCACACCTATAATCCCAATACCTTGGGAGGCCAAGGCAGGTAGATCACTTAAGCTCAGGAGTTTGAGACCAACCTGGGTAACGTGGCAAAACCTCATATCTACAAAAAATACAAAATTAGCTGGGCATGGTGGCGTGCAGCTGTGGTCCCAGCTACTTGGGAGACTGAGGTGGGAGGATCGCTTGAGCCCAGGAAATGCAGTCTGCAGTGAGCAGAAATCGTGCCACTGTACTCCGACGTGAGCGACACAGTGAGACCCTGTCTCAAAAAAAATTTTTTTTAAATAGCTAAGTCACAAATGAAGTTGACAGATTCAAGGACAGAGAAACAGACAAAAAGAAGAAAAGAACCTGACGACCACATGAGCTCTCAGGCCACAAAAGAGGTTCTGTGGGCACATGGTTCTGGTATTGTCTCAGCAGCACACCGAGGGATTCCTGAAGCTCCAGTGCCATGCTGCAGATGGACTACCTTCTTCTGACCATCAGGAAAACTGGAGACACATATCATACTGGAATACATTCTCTGGGTAGGTATAATCATGTCTAATACAGGCTTGTTGGTTTTGGAGATGCTGCAGCTAAACCAGATGTGGACACTCAGCTTTAGTGAAGAAACAGGAATCCCAGTCACCTGGTCAAGTGGAAGCCACCAAAAAGTTGTACCTGGTAGATGCGACCCCGAGCTGCTGCAAACACACAGCCAGGTGCTTGGCCATGAGATGTAATTTCTCAGCAGCATGGCAACCCTGACTGATCTCACCTGCTCGGTGTCAGATCGATTCCGCTTTCCTTCAGCTGGGGCTCCATCGCTTCGGATCACTTTGGGCTTCCGTTTTTTGCTCGATTCTGATGACATGGTTGTTCCTCCTGTTAAGAGGAGAAAGTTTTTGAGATTCTTCTGGAGTCATAACACTGAAGTCAAACTAGCAGTTCTGGCCACTTACAGACTTGGTAACTCAAGGAAAGTCATTTAACCCCTCAAAGCCTCAATTTAACCCTCTGTAATACAACAGGGAAGCATCTCTCAGCCTGTCCAAAACAAACTCCACCTTCTCTTTTAAAAAGGCATCACCACCCACTCCCACTGACCTCGGAATCATCTACTTCAACCTCTCCCTGCCCTGCCTCCACCCACATCCTGCTCCACACTCTCCATAGAGGAGACCTGCATTCAAGTGTTCACCCAGCTATCCAGGCACCATGTGTGTCTCCATCTCAACACCCTAGGCCAGGCCCTCCACATTCCTCTCCAGGACTACTCTAACAGTCTTGCCCAACAATACTGTCTAAATTCTCTTTCTTAAAAAAGACCGACCTAATTAATGCCTCTCCTGTTTCAAAACCTTTGCTGGCTCTTCATAATGCACTGAATATCCATATTCCCTGACTTGTCATAAAGACCCTTGATGGTTTGTCCCCAACCTACCTTCCCAACTTCATTTCTTGCATTCCTATTCCTACCGACCTTCCCACTGTCCCCAACCTCTGCTCCTAGCTGCAACTGCACCCTGCAATCCCAGTTCCCCAAACACTCCATGTCTTTTCCCCTGCTTGCAAAGATCTTCCTTTTCCTCCCTATATCCTTCAAGACTAAGCAATGCTCATCTGCTCTAGGAAGCCTGTCAGGTCTCCCCAAAGCCCTCTTTTGGCTACTTTGGGTACACTATTAGGGAATTTATCTCTATGAATCATTTACCTGTCTTCCCACCTAGATTGTGAGCTCTACCCTCTTCCCCCTGAGCCTGGCAGAGTGCTCCATAAATTAGTATCCAAACTCCTCGGTCTGGCATTTAAAGACACTCCCAATACTACTGTGATCACTGTGTGCTGGGCCTTGATCTAACTACTTTATGGGTATGTTCTCATTTGCTCCTTATAACAAACTTTTCAGCTAAGAACTACCACCATTTCACAGATGACAAAACTGAGGCTCGCAAGGGGAATTACTTGCAAGTAATTGCGAGTCACATGACTAGTAGGCCAAAATCCGGATCTATCCAATCAATGCCATACTGGTGCTCTTAACTACACTTTTATGCCTCCTAGTCCTGCCAGCCTCTCATCTAGTGATGCCATTGACTCCCAGGTTGATCCTAGAATTTAAAGTATAGAACCTACATTTCATGGGGCTCTACAGTCACAAAGCATCCTCCCTTGTTGCCTCACCACAGCCTCCTGAGGTGGGCAGCACTGTCCCCTTTACCCTAATCCCTCTTGCTCTGTCACCCAAGCTGGAGTGCAGTGGCACAATCATCACTCACTGAAGCTTCCACATCCCCGACTTGAGGGAGCCAATAGTTTGTCACGGTAAAAGTCAGAGAGCCCTGAACTGGAATCTCCATTCTACTCTTTCATGGCTATGAGTCCCCGGACGAGTCACTTCACTTTTCTCTGGGTCTGATTCCTCACAAATCAAATGAGAATAACAGTCCCTACCACAGGGGTTGTTGTGGGCTTTAACACAGGAGGCATTCCACTGGGGAAGGTGATGAAGATGACCTGGGACTGTGGCTTCAGATGATGCATAGGTGATCTTAAATAATGCTGAACACCTAAGGAGAAAGTTAATCCCTTTTCAATTCTTATTTTGAAACTTCTGATTGCTTCAAGGAGAACATCTCAGTTCCCTAGTTTGTCTTTAACATCTATGAATGCCAATGTTCCTTTGTAACAAAAGAACTCTATCCCACAGCCTTAAACAACAAAATCTAGCCAGAGTTTGTTAACAATGATCTAGTTGCATTATATTAACTATATTAATTTTTACCTTCTACATAAAACAAGTGAAAGCAGCTTTCCATTTCTGGTGGAGAGATTTCAAGTTTTCTCTCAAAGTAAATTTGAGTTTAAAAAGTGACTTGGCTGGGCGCAGTGGCTCAGGCCTGTAATCCCAGCACTTTGGGAGGCTGAGGCGGGTGGATCACCTGAGGTCAGGAGTTTGAGACCAGCCTGGCCAACATGGTGAAACCCCGTCAGTACCACAAATACAAAAATTAGCCGGGAGTGGAGGCGGGCGCCTGTAATCTCAGCTACTCAGGAGGCTGAGGTAGGAGAATCACTTGAACCCAGGGAGCAGAGGTTGCAATGAGCCGAGATCGCAGCCACTTCACTCCAGCCTGGGCAACAGAGCGAGATTCAGTCTCAACAACAACAAAAAAAGTGACTGGGCCCAACACCATGGCTCACACCTGTAATCCCAACACTTTGGGAAACCAAGGCAAGCAGAGGTGAGAGAATCGCTTGAGCCCAGGCGTTCAAGACCAGAGTGGGCAACAGAGCGAGACCCCATCTTTAGAAAACATTTTAAAATTAGCCTAGTATGGCGGTGCACACCTGTGGTCCCAAGCTACTCTGGAGGCTAGGGTGGGAGGATGGCTTGAGCCCAGAAGTTCCAGGCTGCAGTGAGCTATGATCGCGCCACTGCACTCAGTCTTGACAACAGAGATCCCGTTGCAAAAAAAAAATTTGGACTGGATTAAAAATTTTTAGTAAACCCCTCCCCCTCCCCCCTCCCCCTCTCTCCACGGTCTCCCTCTGATGCCGAGCCGAAGCTGGACTGTACTGCGGCCATCTCGGCTCACTGGAACCTCTCTGCCTGATTCTCCTGCCTCAGCCTGCCGAGTGCCTGCAATTGCAGGCGCGCGCCGCCACGCCTGACTGGTTTTCGTATTTTTTGGTGGAGACGGGGTTTCGCTGTGTTGGCCAGGCTGGTCTCCAGCTCCTGACCGCGAGTGATCGGCCAGCCTCGGCCTCCCGAGGTGCCAGGATTGCAGACGGAGTCTCGTTCACTCAGTGCTCAATGGTGCCCAGGCTGGAGTGCAGTGGCGTGATCTCGGCTCGCTACAACCTCCACCTCCCAGCCGCCTGCCTTGGCCTCCCAAAGTGCCAAGATTGCAGCCTCTGCCCGGCCGCCACCCCGTCTGGGAAGTGAGGAGCGTCTCTGCCCGGCTGCCCATCATCTGGGATGTGAGGAGCCCCTCTGCCCGGCTGCCCAGTCTGGGAAGTGAGGAGCACCTCTTCCCGGACCCCATCCCGTCTAGGAAGTGAGGAGTGTCTCTGCCCGGCCGCCCATCATCTCAGATGTGGGGAGCACCTCTGCCCCGCCGCCCCGTCTGGGATGTGAGGAGCACCTCTGCCCGGCTGCGACCCCGTCTGGGAGGTGAGGAGCGTCTCTGCCCGGCTGCCCCGTCTGAGAGGTGAGGAGCCCCTCCACCCAGCAGCCGCCCCGTCCGGGAGGTGGGGGGCAGCCCCCGCCCGGCCAGCCGCCCCGTCCGGGGGGGAGGTGGGGGCCAGCCCCAGCCCGGCCAGCCGCCCCGTCGGGTCGGGGGTAGGGGGGCGCCTCCGCCTGGCCGCCACCCCGTCCGGGAGGTGGGGGGCGCCTCTGCCCGGCCGCCCCTTCTGGGAGGTGAGGAGCCCCTCTGCCTGGCCGCCACCCCGTCTGGGAGGTGTACCCAACAGCTCATTGAGAACGGGCCATGATGACGATGGCGGTTTTGTCTAGTAGAGAGGGGGGAAATGTGGGGAAAAGATAGAGAAATCGGATTGTTGCTGTGTCTGTGTGGAGAGAGGTGGACAAGGGAGACTCCATTTTGTTCTGTACTGAGAGAAATTCTTCTGCCTTGGGATGCTGTTGGTCTATAGCCTTACCCCCAACCCCGTGCTCTCTGAAACATGTGCTGTGTCCACTCAGGGTTAAATGGATTAAGGGCGGGGCAAGATGTGCTTTGTTAAACAGAAGCTTGAAGGCAGCATGCTCCTTAAGAGTCATCACCACTCCCTAATCTCAAGTACCCAGGGACACAAACACTGCGGAAGGCTGCAGGGTCCTCTGCCTAGGAAAACCAGAGACCTTTGTTCACTTGTTTATCTGCTGACCTTCCCTCCACTATTGTCCTATGACCCTGCCAAATCCCCTCTGCGAGAAACACCCAAGAATTATCAATAAATACTAAAACAAACAAACAAACAAATTTTTAATAAACGGTAGTAGAGGTGGTAAGTTGATCTGGCAAAGCCTACAAAGACCGGACCTGAAAGGCTTAAGTGTGGGAAATCCTGACTTTGGCAACACAGTAGAGTGCCTGGCACACCGAAGAGCACGATATATGTGAGCTGTTACCATCACCACCACCCCCACCCCCATCAGGCTACATTACCACAATCAAGAGGCTCCAACGTGAAGCCTGAGGATGCTGCAGCGAACACTTTTCGGATGAGGTAACAGCGCAGCGCCGAGAGGCCGGGGACCGCGGGTAGTGAGGGAGGAGAAGCCGGGTCAGACCCCAGCCCAGGGGCGCCCTTTGGGCGATCAGCACCTCAGTCCCGGAGCGCCCAGCCCCGCCCCATCTCCCAGCCCCACTGCCCTTGTCCCCTCCTCACCTCACAGCTCCAAGAACCTGGCACCGGGAGTAAGCCACTGCCGGAGGCGGAGCAAAGCTTGCCCGCGCACCATAGAGAACCGGAAGTAAGGAAGGGGCGGCCGACCGGAAGCGAGGCGTAGAGGCCGGAAGCTCAGCGCGGAGGCCCCCGAGGGAGGTGGTGGCGTGGTGAGACTGTAAAAACAAAGACACATGCTTCTCGTTCACTGTGCCCAGGGCCTAAGAGAGTGTCCAGCAGCTAGTGGGCGCTCCACCGAGTAGTTGAATTAATGTTGTGTTATGTCCAAGATAACACGAAAGAACCTGGTAGCGCGGCGGGGAAGATTTCGGCGCTAGAGGATTTGCCTGCATAACCTTACTTCTTAATTATTATTTTTACCATAATATGCCACGCCAGTGAAGGCAACAAGTCAGGGAGGGCATTAACCTCATTTTACACTTGGCTTTTTGAGGAGTGCATCACCAGTTTCTCCATTTTAGGCCTGACTTGCCCAGGACAGAGTCACAACTCTAACGCAGTATTTGAAAGCTTCAGGTATTTCCTACCCCTGGCATGAACTGTACAAACAAGGCCCAGGATTTTTTCGTGTAAATCCTCATCTGGAGCTAGTAACACGTGTCCTGAATCCCTGGTTGTACGGGGCCAGTTCCTTCTCCTTCCCAGGAGCAAGGAGGAAAATACTGGCTCTTTTTTATTTTTATTTTTATTTGAGACAGAGTTTTGCTCTCTCACCCAGGCTGAAGTGCAGTGGCGCAATCCCCGCTCACTGCAAACTCCGACTCCAGGGTTTAAAGGATTCTCCTGCCTCAGCCTCCTAAGTAGCTGGGATTACAGGCATGCACCACCATGCCCAGCTAATTTTTGTATTTTTAGTAGAGACAGGGTTTCACCATGTTGCCCAGGCTGGTCTTGAACTCCTGACCTCACTCAAGTGATCTGCCCACCTCGGACTTCCAAAATGCTGGGATTACAGGCGTGAGCCACTGCACCCAACCAGTACTGACTGTTGAGAATAGCTCAAGAACACAGTACCCTCCAGGAGGGTAGATCTGCCATGTGGGACTAAGCCCACCAGCTCTACTGTGCCCTGCCTCAGGCACCTGCTAAAGTTCCTTGCAGATGAAGAAAAGACACTGATTTATAGTAAATATTTAATTGTTTCCATCAGCAATTCCAGCACAAGTTTTCCTGGATGGTAGGCAGAATCAAGCTACCCAAGGGTTCATGATGAGGTATGGGGGTCACTGAGGAGACCCCCAGAGTCACTGACCCCTCCCGCCACCTCCACACACCAGGTGGCCCTGCAGAATGAGGGTTGGGCTGATAGAATGTCAATTAGGGGAGACAGGATACAGGGTGAGGGAACAGGGTCTAGCTTGTATATTTGCCTGCAGGAAGGAGGGAGGGCAGGAGAGACTCTGCATAGAAGGACTGGAACTACACATTTAAGTTTTCAACCCCAATATGCAGGGGGAAACAGCCAAGCCACTCTCCATCTGTCTAGTATTAGGAACCTCTCTTCAAGTGGTCTTTTGTCATCTCTGTTCTTCTTCCCAATTCTGTATTCCAGATTCCAAATTCTACAATTGAAACCCAAGTTCTGAATTCTAAGTTCTACCTTCCGAGTTCCTGTTACGTGTCTGTCTCCTGCCCCTAAATCTTTCCTGGCTCCCATCCCTTTCCCCAGCCCCTCTGGGCAGAATGTCTGAACCTCCTCCTGACCGTGGTGACGAGGTTTGTTTGTATTTGTTTTTTTGTTTTGGCAGTTCCAGGCTTTTCTCCAGCAGGAGGGACTTGGCTCAGACTGTCCAGCAAGTGGGTGGCCCAGTGGAAACCAGGGAATTCCTGAGGGCCTGGCCTGGCCTCCTCTCTTCCCACCCCACCTCTAGCCACTGGACATACTACCTTTTGTGCAACTAAGCTAAACAGAGGATTTCCAAGGGTGATAACTGGGGACTGGTGGCCTTGAGATGAGGAATTTTAGAAGATAAATGAAGGCCTAAAAGATCACTATCTTTCATTCAGGGAAATCAGAAACTACTTCTAGCAGGGGGAGGGAGGCAGGCAGGGAAAGTAGAAAGGGCCTGGGCAGAGCTGTAATCCTCAGAACTTGTCAGCCTTCAGTTCCCCCTTGTCTGAACTGAGCACTGCCCCTCAGAGTCCTCCCAGAGCCAAGACAAAACCAAGACAGCAGGACCAGGAGTGCCACTGTCTGTCGGGGTTGCCTGAGGGAGAAGGGGAAGGAGGTGGAGGTGTAGGCAGCATCACTGCAGAGGCGAGATCTTCAAGGGGATCATGATCCTAGACTCCATGTGTCGCACCAGGGGGACTGCGGAGAGAGAAGGCAGAGGTCACACAGGGGGCTCAAGCAAGCCAACAACCTCCCCTGGCCCCACCCACACATGCTGGCCTTTGAGTGGGCAGGAGGAGGCCCCAGATGCTGCGACAGGAATGTCCCATTGCCCTCGTGGAAGGGCCCATGAAGAGCACCAGATCCCTCAAATTATGGGATAAGACAGGACTTTGGTGGTGATGAGAATAACATTTTCTTAAATTTTAATAGTTATCTGTTGGCCAGGCATGGTGGCTTGTGCCTATAATCCCAGCACTTAGAGAGGCCAAGACAGGCGGATCACCTGAGGTCAGGAGTTCGAGACTAGCCTGACCAACATGGAGAAACCCTCTCTCTACTAAAAATACAAAATTAGCCGGGCGTAGTGGCACATGCTTGTAATCCTAGCTACTCGGGAGGCTGAGGCAGGAGAATCGCTTGAACCCGGGAGTCAGAGGTTGCTGTGAGCCGAGATCAGGCCATTGCACTCCAGCCTGGGCAACAAGAGCAAAACTCCGTCTCAAAAAAAAAGAAAAGAAAAACACTGATTTAGACCAACTGCCTCGTTTTACAGATAGAGAGGGTGCAGCCTAGAGAAGGTCAGCTCCAGGTCATCCAGGAGGTTAGACTCTTTCCTCCAGCTCAGAGCTTTTCAAACTTTAATGTGCATACAAATCACTTGGCAGTTCTTGTTAATGTGCAGATTCTGATTTGGTAGGTTGCAGGAAGCCTGCGATTTGTTATTCTTGTTTGTTTCTTTGTTTGAGATGGAATTTCACTCTTGTTGCCCAGGCTGGAGTGCAATGGCACTATCTCGGCTCACTGCAACCTCTGCCTTCCGGTTTCAAGCGATTCTCCTGCCTCAGCCTCCCGAGTAGCTGGGATTACAGGCATGTGCCACTATGCCTGGCTAATTTTGTATTTTTAGTAGAGACAGGGTTTCTCCATGTTGGTCAGGCTGGTCTTGAACTCCTGACCTCAGGTGATCTGCCCACCTCAGCCTCCCAAAGTGCTGGGATGACAGGCGTGAGCCACTGCGCCCAGCCGAGATTTGTCATTCTTAACAAGCTCCCAGGGGATGCCAATACTGTCAGTTGGGACCACACTTGATTTTTTTTGTTTTTTGTTTTTTTTGAGACAGGGTCTCACTCTGTCTTCCAGGCTGGAGTGCAGTGGCAGGTTCTCGGCTCAATGCAACCTCCGCCTCCTGGGTTCAAGTGATTCTTGTGCCTCAGCCTCCCGAGTAGCTGGGATTACAGGCTTGAGTTACCATGCCTGGCTAATTTTTTTTATTTTTAGTAGAGACGAGGTTTCACCATGTTGCCGAGACTGGTCTCCAACTCCTGGCCTCAATTGATCCACATACCTCAACTTCATAGTGCTGGGATTACAGGTGTAAGCCACTGTGCTTGTCTTGTTTTTTATTATTTTTATTTTTTATTTTTGAGATAGGGTCTCACTGTTGCCCAGGCTGGAGTGCAATGGCACAATCATGGCTCCCTGCAGCCTCAAACTCCTGGGATCAAGTGATCCTCCCACCTCAGCCTTCCAAGTAGCTGGGACTACAGATGGGAAACACCACGTCCTGCTAATTTTTAAAAAATGTTTTGTAGAGATGGGGTCTCCCTATGTTGCCCAGGCTGGTCTTAAACTACTGACCTCAAGTGATCCTCTTGCCTTGGCCTCCCAAAGTACTAGGATTTCAGTTGTGAGCCACCATACCCAGCTGGGACCACACTGAATAGCAAGGCTCCTGCTAACTCCTTCAGCAGACACATTCTCCCTCATACCACCTGGTAAGTGATCACTGTAAACTTCTCAATGGCAAGGACAGGCTCTTGTTCATTTATGTGCCCCTCAACCACCTACCTACCACAGTTCCCGGCACACAGTGAGGGCTTAATTAACACCCACTGACTCTAGGTGGTTTCAGGTTCCTAGCAAAGTGGCAAACACCTTGAGCAAAAAACTTGTTCAAGGCTGGGCACAGTAGCTCATGCCTATGATCCCAGCACTTTGGAAGGCTGAGGTGGGAGGACTGCTTGAGCCCAGGAGTTTGAGACCTGCCTGGGTGACATAGTAAGACTGCATCTCTACAAAAACAAAAACCTTATTCAAAAACATTTCCTGCATGCTTCCTTTGTGACAGACACTGGAGAAAGCACTTTTCATAAATGAGTTTGTGGGCCAGATGTGGTGGCTCATGCCTGTAATCACAGCACTTTGGGAGGCCGAGGCAGGCGGATCACCTGAGGTCAGGAGTTCGAGACCAGCTTGGCCAACATGATAAAACCCCGTCTCTACTAAAAATACAAAATTAGCTGGACATGGTGACACACGCCTGTAATCCCAGCTACTCGGGAGGCTGAGGCAGGAGAATGGCTTGAACCTGGGAGGCGGAGGCTACAGTGAGCCAAGATCATGCCACTGCACTCCACCCTGGGTGACAGAGTGAGACTGTGTCTCAAAAATAAATAAAATAAAATAAAATATAAAATAATAAAATAGTTTGTAGAATCTTCCGTTATAGCCCTCTGACAGAAGCACTATCACCATCACTATCTTACAGACGAGGGAACAGCCTCAGCGAGGTAAAGAACCGTGCCCAAGGTCACAATGGGCGTTTGCTAATCCACATCTCCTAGGCAGAGGCGTGGCCCTGGCTATGTTATCATCCCCTAGAGTACTCACCTAGGCCTGCTGGTATCCTATGGAGTGTGCCACTTGGATAGAAACCCATTAACTCATTGTCTTAAAAGTGAGTTCCCCATCACTGGAGGTAATCAAGAAAGACTAGATCTCCTTGCAGAGAGGATTCCATCCTCAGACAGGGTTCTCAGCAGAAGACCTCCAAAGGCTTCACTCACCTGTATAGTAGACATTTTCATCCCAGCCTCTCTTCCTCCAGGCAGCGTTTCGAGTCTCCTCCCGAGACTGCAGGTCTTTATAGGCTGTGAGAAAGGCACAGGCTCATTCCTCAGGCACAGAGGACTGGATCCCTTACCCAGCACAGGGCCCTCTTCCCACTGTCCCCTAAACCCTGCACTGCTGTCTCCTCCTCCCTAGATGCCTCCCTCAGACTATTAGCAAACACTGTCTGCTTTAATCATCCATCCAATCAGTACATATGTTAATATTGCCTACATTTATATTTCTAGTCGCAAACACTCCCAAGGGCTCCAGACTCCTATATCCATCTACTGCCTACTTGACATCTCTACTTTGGTGTGTCAGCATTTTTAGTGTTAACACTTCCGGCTAGGTGCGGTGGCTCATGCCTATAATCCCAGCACTTTGGGAGGCCGAGGCTGGTGGACTGCTTGAGGCCAGGAGTTCGAGGCCAGTCTGGCCAACATAGCGAAACTCTGTACTAAAAATAGAAAAATTAGTTGGGCATGGTACTGCATGCCTGTAATCCCAGCTACTCAGGAGCGTGAGGCACGAGAATCACTTGAACTTGGGAAGCGGAGGTTGCAGTGAGCTGAGATCACACTACTGCACTCCAGCCTAGGTGACAGAGCAAGACTGTGTCTCAAAGAAAAAAAAAAAAAGTAACAATTCCAAGGGCCAAAATTACGCTCCTGACCCCACTGACTTGCTCCTTCCCTAGACCTCCCAGACTCAGGAGATGACACACAGCAGCTCAAGCACGAGCCTGGGAGCTCTTCTGGAATGCCCTTCTCCTTCTCTTGCCCCACACAGACAATTCATCCACAAGTCCTGTTGGTTCCACCTCTAGACTAACAAATCTTCTGTGGACTTCTCAGCATCCCACTGCCCCATCCCCTCCTGCCTGAACTAGAGTAATGGCTTCCTGAAGCCCTGCTTTCTCTCTTGCTCGCCTACCAAGCACTCTTAACAAAGCAGACAGCAGCCAGAGAAATCATACTAGAACAAAAATCAGGTCGTGTCACTGCTATTTGAAACAAATAGTCTCTCATTGCATTTACAATAAATCCCAACTCATTCCCCCTCTCCTGTTCCATCTCCCCACATTCTTCCCTACTCACTCCACACTGGCCTCCTTGCCACACCTCAAAACCCCGAAGGCCTTTCCCCACCACAGGGCCTTTGCATGTGCTGCTCTGTCTACTTGGAATGCTTTTGCCTAGCAATTCACAGCTGGCTCCTTCTCATCCTTTAGCTCTCAGCTTACATTTTACTTCCTCAGAGAGGCATTATTTGTCTACCTAGACCAATGTAGATCCCCTATGTTTTTCACCATCATCTCTCCCTGCCTTTTTTTTTTTTCTTCTTTTTTTTTGAGACGGAGTCTCGCTCTGTTGCCAGGCTGGAGTGCAATGGCGTGATCTCAGCTCACTGCAACCTCCACCTCCCGGGTTCAACTGATTCTCCTGCCTCATCCTCCCGAGTATCTGGGACTACAGGCATGCGCCACCACGCCCAGCTAATTTTTGTATTTTTAGTAGAGATGGGGTTTCACCATATTGGCCAGGATGGTCTCGATCTCTTGACCTTGTGATTTGCCCACCTCGGCCTCCCAAAGTGTCGTGATTATACACTTGAGCCACCGCTCCCAGACTCCTTGCCTATTTTCTATAAATATTATTTGTAATCTGAAATTGATCTTTTTGTGACTTTACATCTAAGATAGTGTCTCCTGCTAGAACATTAAGTTCTATGAGGACACTAATACAACCCCATTGGCTACAGAGAGTGATGACAGAGAAAGAGAACTAACAAAAGGCTCCTGGAAGGTCCTCAACCTACCCCAGAGATGGTGCACCACGTAGAGCTCTCCTATCTGTGAGAAGAAGCCGCCCACTGCCTCCTGGTTCTCCTGCCGGTACTTGATGGCCCGAGCCCTGGAGAAGGCACAATAATATGGGGCAGAAGCCAGGGCTGGTGCAGAGGGTACTGAGGCTGATTCCTTGGCCACACTTCACAGGAGGGGCCTAGGTGGAACCCACGGTCCTCCGGGATGCTGAGAGAAAGGACTGATGGCGGGGTGTTCTACCAACGGAGGGGTCACAACCTTCTAGGAGATCCTCACCTCCTGGCTGGATCCTTCTCCCAGATCCATGAGGGGCAGAAGGTAAAGAGTTCCCTGTGATATGGCCCTGGAAAAGGTGGCCCACCAGGGGCCTTGGTGGGGCAGGTGAGCAGGGTACGCCTCCCCCAACCCCAGTCTTGGTGCTGCCACTTACCAGTTGTTCCCCCACTCGATCATGGTTCCTGGCTGAAAGAGAACCAAAGGGATGATGGGAATGAGCCCCCACCTCAGATTCATAGCATCACAGCTTGGCAAGGAAGGGAAACTGCCCTGTCTCCCCACCTCCCAAGCTGCAGCGGCCATTTGGCCTCATTCGCAGGCCCTGACACACACCTGGTGTGCATGTTTGCACACATGTGTATACAACTCTGCTCTGAGCCCATAGGGAGGGAGAAGCCAGAAGCCCCAGTCTAGGTGTTGGGGCAGCTGCAAAGCAGCATTGCAGCAGGGAAATTGGGGGGCAGGAGGGGGTCTGTCGGAGGGAGGCACCTTGAGCTTGTATGTCCTCAGCTCATAGATGTTGGGACCCATTCTGGGCTGTGGCTCATTCCAGAAGCTGAACTCGAGGAGCAGCTGGTTTCTCCTGGACAGCAGCATCTGGCTCCGCTCCCTTCGGAACTCCAGGTACTCCTGTGGGCATGGTGGTAAAGGCATGGCTACCAGGAAGTGCGCTCCATCCTGACAGTGTGCCTCATGGGGTAGCAGAGTAGTCCCCAGAACAGGGCTGGGCTGCATCCCACATCCAGAGAGGTGTGCTGAGTGGACACTAACATACCTTATTGTTTTTGAGCTTGTTCATGCAGTCCATGAGGGCTGGGTAGCCACCTGAGAATCGCCACAGGTGCACTGTTGGGGGTGAGAGGTATAGGTCAGTGAGCTGCTGGGACCCCCAGCAGATGACCTCCTCAAGGTTGGCTAAGTGGTGGGGACGGGGGAGGCGGGGTGGCCTGGTTCCCTGTAGCAGCAAGACTCCCTGAGTTCCCTCTGCCTTGGTGGAAGACCATGCTGGGGAGGGGATGACCCTAGACACAAGTCTAGGAGACCTGGATTTGAGCTCCAGCTCTGCCCAGCAGCCTTGGACTGCTCTAGGCCTCAATGTTCTCATCTTGAAAATGGGAATAATGTTCCCACCCCACCTTCCTTAAATAGCAACAAGAAGATCAGATGTGTCCTGTACCCTGGAAGCAGTGGCATGCATAAGGAAGACCACCAGGCCTTAGAGGGGCAGCTGAACAAAAGAACAGGGGAGAACTGATGGGCTGATATGGAACATTCCAAGACAGTGAATTGAAAAAAGGAACCAAGGAACAGAAGAGGATGTGTGGTATGCTACCTCATGTGTTGAGGTGGCAAGGACATCCAGAGATGCTAATTTATGCATCACCTCTTAATGGCGACTTAAGAGATTGACAGTAGACCAGGCGCAGTGGCTCACACCTGTAATCCCAGCATTTTGCGGGGCTGAGGTGGGTGGAGACCAGCCTGACCAACATGGAAAAACCCCATCTCTACTAAAAATACAAAATTAGCCAGGTGTGGTGGCGCATGCCTGTAATCCCAGCTACTTGGGAGGCTGAGGCAGGAGAATCACTTGAACCTGGGAGGCAGAGGTGGCGGTGAGCCAAGATTGTGCCATCGCACTCCAACCTGGGCAACAAGAGCGAAACTCCGTCTCAAAAAAAAAGAGATTGACAGTAGATGCCCCTGGGACACAGAATGGAGGCCTGTGGGGCCTCGGGCAGGAGGGAAGCTTACTTTGCATGGAAAACTCTTTGTACTGTTAGAATTTATAAAAATCCTGGGCCGGGCACGGTGGCTCACGCCTGTAATCCCAGCACTTTGGGAGGCTGAGGAAGGTGGATCACGAGGTCAGGAGATCGAGACCATCCTGGCTAACACAGTGAAACCCCGTCTCTACTAAAAATACAAAAAATTAGCCAGGCGTGGTGGCGGGCACCTATAGTCCCAGCTACTCGGGAGGCTGAAGCAGGAGAATGGCATGAACCCAGGAGGCAGAGCTTGCAGTGAGCCGAGATCATGCCACTGCACTCCAGCCTGGACAACAGAGCGAGACTCCATCTTAAAAAAAAAAAAAAAAAATTAGTTGGGTGTGGTGGCACATGCCTATAATCCCAGTTACTCGGGAGGCTGAGGCAGGAGAATCGCTTGAACCCAGGAGGTAGAGGTTGCAGTGAGTCAAGATTGTGCCAGTGTACTCCAGCCTGGGTGGCAGGGTGAGACTCCGTCTCAAGTAAATAAATAATCAACTTTGGGAGGCTGAGGCAGGTGGATCATCTGAAGTCGGAAATTTGAGACCAGCCTCACCAACTTGGCGAAACCCCATCTCTACTAAAACAAAAATTAGCTGGGCGTGGTGATGCACATCTGTAATCCTAGCTACTCAGGAGGCTGAGGCAAGAGAATCGCTTCAACCTGGGATGCAAAGGTTGTGGTGAGCTGAGATCGCACCACTGCACTCCAGCCTGGGCAAAAGAGCAAGACTCCGTCTCAAAAAATAAATAAATAAAAATAAAAATAAATAAAAATCATATTATCTGCACTGAGTTGAACAATGTCCCCTCAAAATTTATGCCCACCCAGAACCTCAGAATGTGACCTTATTTGGAAATAGGTCTCTGTGGGTATAATCGACCTAAGATGAGATTATACTAGGTGAGCCCTGAGTCCAGTGACTAGTGTCCTTATCAGAAGTGGGAGATCTGGACACAGGAGAACACTATGTGAAGACAGAGACACACAGAGAGAACAGCATGTGACGAGGGAGGCAGAGATTAGAATGACAAGTCTACAAGCCAAGGAACACTAAGAGTTTCCAGCAATCCCCAGAAACTGGAAGAGGCAAGGAAGGGTTCTCCCCTAAGGCCTTAGGAGGAAGGACAGCCCTGTCAACACCTTGATTTGTGACTTCCAGCCTCCAGAACTGTGACAGGATAAACCTCTGTTATTTTAAGCCACCCAGTTTGCGGTATGCTGGCCACCCCAGGAAACTAATCTAATTCCTAGTAACAAAGAAACCTAATTAATTGTGGAGGAGAAGAAAGGAACAGTTTTGCCATCCTGGGAGCATGGCTGGGCCCATCAGCGGAGGAAGGTCCCCAGGGGATCACACAGGCAAGCTAGAGCTAAGGGCAGCTGGCTGCCAGCAGTCTAGAAACTCAGACTCTGTAACTTCCCATCCCCATCCCCAGCCTGACCTTCACCTGTTTTTTGACTCCATCTGTGCCTTGATTTTCCCATCTGCAAAATGGCCTGACCCTATGGTTTAAAGGTCTTTTTCCCAAAGGAAATGGCAAAAGTACTGTATGGATAGAAATCTACCAAAACCAGGAATGACCTGTGGAAAACGGATTAACGGAGAAAAGTTACAAGGACAGCATCATTGGCAAGAGGAAGGAATTTTCTTTATTTTTCTGTCACCCAGGCTGGAGTGCGGTGGCGTGATCTCAGCTCACTGCAACATCCACCTCCTGGATTTAAGAGACTGTCCTGCCTATGCCTCCCAAGTAGCTGGGATTACAGGCGCATGCCACCACGCCCAGCTAATTTTTGTATTTTTAGTAGAGACAGGGTTTCACCTTGTTAGCCAGGCTGGTCTTGAACTCCTGACCTCAGGTGATGCACCTGCCTCAGCCTCCCAAAGTGCTGGGATACAGGCATGAGCCACCGCGCCCAGCCAAGAAGAAGGAATTGTCTAACAACTGTGGTGCTCTCCATAGGAGATGGATCAATGGTTCTTACAAGTTTATTAAAATGTAGATTCTTGAACCCTACTCCCAGCGTACAGCTCAACATGATTCAGCTGACTATGTGAGGGACTGAACTTCAAGGTACAAAAAATGTAGGGTATGCTTTAAAAAGTCAGGATCAGCCAGGCGCAGTGGCTCAGGCCTGTAATCCCAACACTCTGGGAGGCTGAGGCAGGAGAGGAGCACTTGAGCTCAGGAGTCTGAGATCAGCCTGGGCAACATAGCAAGACCTCATCTCTACAAAACAAACAAACAAACAAAACAAAACAACTAGCCCAGGCATGGTGGTGCATGTCTGTGGTCCCAGCTACTCGAGAAGTTGAGGTGAGAGGATCGCCTGAGCCTAGGAGTTCAAGGTTACAGTGAACTATGATCATGCCACTGCACTCCAAACTGGGTGACAGAGCGAGACCCTGTCCCAAACAGAAAAATAAAAAGAAGAAAAAGGCCAGGGGCAGTGGCTCACGCCTTTAATCCCAGCACTTTGGGAGGCCGAGGCAGGTGGATCAACTGTGGTCAGGAGTTCGAGACCAGCCTGGCCAAGATGGTGAAACTCCATCTCTACTAAAAATACAAAAATTAGCCAGGCATGGTGGTTCATACTTGTAGTCCCAGCTACTCGGGAGCCTGAGGCAAGAGAACTTGCTTGAATCCGGGAGGCAGAGGTTGCAGTGAGCTGAGATCACGCCACTGCACTCCAGCCTGGGCAACAGAGTGAGACTCGGTCTCGAAAAAGAAAAAAAAGAAAAAGTCAGGATCCCATCCCTCAGAGTTCATTTCACAACTAGCAAATGCTTAAGAGAATTCAAGGAATACTGCTGGAGCTGATCAAGTCAAGCTTAAAATGGGAAAGCTGTAGTGGCTGAAACTGAAGGCAATTTGCTTTTCTCTTATTCCCTTAGCCACATATCAGTGTCTAGCCAGGTATGATGGCACACGCCTGTAGTCCCAGCTACTCAGGAGGATTGCCCGAGCCCAGAAATTCAACTCCAGCCTGGGCAATATAGTGAGACCCTGTTTCTAAATGGAAATAATAAAAATAAAACATAAATAATATGTTAATGTCTGTTACGGAAACCAAATAATTGATTAAGGAGATACACCTATCTATCTGCAGGTCACAGATTATTTTCAAAGACACGATTATCAGGGCTGTCAAAGGATGAAATAGATTGGCTTACAAGTGAACTCTTCATGGCTAGGAGTGTTCAAGGGAAGTTTAGAGGACCATCTGTTATGGCTGTGCTATGCAGACACTCTAAACCAGTACTGTCCAAAAGTACTTTCTGCATGAGCCTGTGTGTATATGAGTGAGCATTTGAAATGTAGCTAGTATGACTAAGAAACTGAATTTTTTCTTTTTAAAATCTTTTCTTCTTTTTTTTTTAATATGTATTTTCTTTATAGAAGCAAAGTCTCACTATGTTGCCCAGGCTGGTTTCAAACTCCTGGCCTCAAGTGTTCCTCCCACCTCAGCCTCCTAATCTGCTGGGATTATAAGCATAAGCCACCATATTCAGTCCTGAATTTTTTCTTTTTTAGAGACAGGGTCCTCACTGTGTTGCCCAGGCTGGAGTGCAGTGGCTATTCATAGGTGTGATGGTATTCAATCACGGCCTCGAACTCCTGGGCTCAAGCAGTCCTCCCAACTCAGCCTCCCAAGTAGCTAGGACTACAGGTGAGCACCTTGGCACACAGCTTGAACTTTAAATTTTATGTAATTTTAACTAATATAAATTTCAATAGCTACATGTGAGGCCAGGGCGCAGTGGCTCACACCTGTAATCTCAGTAGTCCAGGAGGCCAAGGCTGACGGATTGCTTGAGTCCAGGAGTTCAAGACCAGCCTGGGCAACATAGCGAAACCCTGTCTCTACTAAAAATATAAAAAATTAGCTGGCTGTGGTGGTGCACACCTGTAGTTCCAGCTACTTGGGAGGCTGAGGTGAGAGAATCATCTGAGCCCGGGAGGTCAAGGGTGCAGTGAGCTGTGATTGCACCACTGCAGTCCAGCCTGGGAAACCAGAGTGAGACGCTGTCTCAAAAAAATAAATAAATAGGCCAGGCGCAGTGGCTGATGCCTGTAATCCCAACACTTTGGGAGGCTCAGGCGGGAGGATCATGAGGTCAGGAGTTCAAGACCAGCCTGACCAACATGGTGAAACCCTGTTTCTACTAAAAATACAAAAATTAGCCAAGTGTGGTGGCACACGCCTGTAACCTCAGCTACTCAGGAGGCTGAGGCAGGAGAATCACTTGAACCCAGGAGGCAGAGGTTGCAGTGAGCCAAGATTGCACCACTGTACCCCAGCCTGGGTGACAGTACAGAGCGAGGCTCCATCTCAAAAAAATAAATAAATAAATAACTACATGTGGTTAGTGGCTATCATTTTGGACAGTGTGGGTCTGAATTTGAGGTCCCTTTGAGTGGCTGAGATGCTGTGAGTCAGCCAAATTCATGTGTGGGTTCTTATAGCTGGTGCCAACTTTGATGTGTCTATTAGGCTGGGATGGGGCATGCTAGGGGTGCCCCTGGGACTGTAAGACACCAGCTCAGACAAGAAGAACTCCTATTTATTCCACAAATATGTGCTGCATATTGGGGATTCACCCATATATGGAGACAGACAACTAAACAGGCAGCTATAGGGGTACATGATCAGGGCGTGAGGAGGTAATTACTGAGGCCTGGAGAGCTAAGGAAGGTGCCTGACCCAGCCCGCGTGGAGGAAATCTCGGCAGCCTTCCAGGAGGAGGTGACATCTATGCCAAAATAGAAAAGTGAATAGTCCAGGCACTGTGGCTCATGCCTGTACTCCCAGCACTTTGGGAGGCCAAAGTGGAAGGATCGCTTGAGCCCGGGAGTTTGAGACCACCCTGGGTAACATAGGGAGATCCCGTCTCTACAAAAAATTTAAAATAAATTAGTTGGGCATTGTGGCATGCACCTGTGGTCCCAGCTACTCAGGAGGCTGAGGTAGGAGGATTGCTTAAGCTCAGGAGGTTAAGGCTGTGTGAGCTGTGATCACACCACTGCACTCCCCACTGGGTAACAAGACCTGGTTTCAAAAATAAATAAATAAATGAAAATTTAAAAATGAATAAAACTGAAAGGCCAGGCACGGTGGCTCATGTCTACAATCCTAGCACTTTGGGAGGCCGAGGAGGTAGGATCATTTGAGTTCAGGAATTCAAGACCAGCCTGGGCAACATGGAGAAACCCCGTCTCTACCAAAAAACACAAAAATTAGCCGAGCATGGTGGAGCGCACCTATAGTCCCAGCTACTCAGGAAGCTGAGGTGGGAGTACTGCTTGAGCCTGGGAAATTGAGGCTCGAGTGAGCCAAGATTATGCCACTGCACTCCAGCCTGTGTGACAGAGCAAGACCCTGTCTCAAAAAAAAAAAAAAAAAAAAAAAAGGCCGGGAGTGGTGGCTCACTCCTGTAATCCCAGCACTTTGGGAGGCCGAGGCAGGTGGATCACCTGAGGTCAGAAGTTCGAGACCAGCCTGACCAACATGTGAAACCCCATCTCTACTAAAGATACAAAATTAGCCAGGCCTGGTGGCACAGGCCAGTAATCCCAGCTACTCGGGAAGCTGAGGCAGGAGAATATCTTCAACTCAGGAGGTGGAGGTTGCAGTCAGCCAAGACTGTGCCACTATCTGCCAGCCTGGGTGACAGAGCGAGACCCTGTCTCAAAAAAGAAAAAAGAAAAAAAAAAAAAAGGCCGGGTGCGGTGGCTCACACCTGTAATCCCAGCACTTTGGGAGGCTGAGGCAGGTGGATCACCTGAGATCAGGAGTTCAAGACCAGCCTGACCAACATGGTGAAATCCCGTCTCTACTAAAAATACAAAATTAGCTGGGCGTGGTGGCACATGCCTGTAATCCCAGCTACTCAGGAGGCTGAGACAAGAGAATTGCTTAAACTGGGGAGGCGGAGGTTGCAGTGAGCCGAGATTGCACTACTGCACTCCAGCCTGGGGCAACAAGAGTGAAACTCAGTCTCGGAAAAAAAAAGAATAAAAGACAGTGATCCAGGTAAAGCAGGCAAACAAGAAATAATGCTTAAGGCAGAAGAAAGAGAATGAGCAGTAGTCTGGAACTAAAGAGTGAAACTGTCAATCTGAGGAACTGAGTCCTGGGTGGGACAGCACAGCGAGGCATGGAGGATTTGGTGCCATGAGGCTGGGGGCAGGGCCGGGAAGGAGTCACAGGCTTCACGGGTCACCTTGAGGGCACAGGGGAGCCAGGACAGGTATTTGAGCAGGGGAGTGAGGTGATGAGGTTTTAGTAAGAGCCCCACCAGGTGCTGTTGTGGAGAGGGAGTGGAGAACAGCCAGGTGTGAAAGGTGCTGGAGGCCAGGGCTGGGCAGTGGCAATGGCACTAGGGAGGTGAGCGCCTTACCTGCCTGGTCCTGCTCCCCATACCACGTGTTCCAGTTGCCCACGAGTGAGCATGGGTAGTCCTCATCCAGGTGAAGCTTGGGCAGCACAGCCTCCCTGTGGGGGAGGTGCAGAGAGGGGCAGGGTTCACATAGCCACCAGGGCCTCTGAGATAAGGGTTCAAACTCAGTTCAAACAGACCCTGGGGCTGGGCCTCAGACTCTCCATCTCTAAAATGCAGAAGCTAGGCAAGAGGCCCTCAGGACTTCCGACACTGAAATTTACATCCTGGCTGGGCACAGTGGCTCACACCTGTAATCCCAACACTGGGAGGCTGAGGCAGGAGGATTGCTTGAGCCCAGTAGTTTGAGACCAGCCTGGGAAGCAAAGTGAGATCCCATCTCTCTTTTTTGTGTGTGAGACAGAGTTTTGCTCTTGTTGCCCAGGCTGGAGTGCAATGGCGCAATCTCGGCTCACTGGAACCTCCGCCTCCTGGAGACCATCTCTTAAAAAAAAAAAAAAGAAAGAAAGAAAATGGGGCCAAACGCAGTGGCACATGCCTGTAATCCCAGCACTCGGAGGCCGAGGCAGGTGGATCACCTGAGGTCAGGAGTTTGCGACCAGCCGGACTAACATGGTGAAACCCTGTCTCTACTAAATACAAAAAAATTAGCCATGCTTAGCGGCGCATGCCTGTAATCCGAGCTACTTGGGAGGCTGGAACAGGAGAATCGCTTGTACCTGGGAGGCAGAGGTTGCAGTGAGCCGAGATCGCGCCATTGCACTCCAGCCTGGGCAACGAGAGCAAAACTCCATCTCAAAAAAAAAGAAAGAGAGAAAGAAAGAAAGAAAGAAAAAGGCAGAAATAAAAGAAATCTACATCTCCTGGATTTCTACAGAAAAGAACAGGGTGGAGGATGTTCCGCAAATTTGCTGAAAGTGTGTTCCCCACCCAAGCAGGGGATGGGATGTATGGATGCAGGGTGCTCACGTGAGGCTGTTGTAGGCATCCAGGTATTCAGGCTTTACATTGTGAACTGCAACAGAGGACAGAGAACAAGAAGTGAGGTAGGGTGTGTACACAGGGAAGAACTTGGGGTGAGGGGAGCCCATCAAGGCCAGGGGTCCCAGGACAGCTGAGGACATTCCAGACCCTCCCATCTCCTTCCTGGAGCCTCACAGGCCCCCAGAGCCCCTGAAAGGGCAGAAATTGGTCAGCTCAGCAGCCACTCACACTGGATCTTATAGAGGTTGCTGGTTTCCTTCTTGGACAGCAGGGTGGAGTGGGCATCCTTCCGGGGATCCACTTTGTGAACAAAGAGGGAGCGGAACCAGCTGCCTTCATTGTCCTTGGAATAGAAACTGCAGGACAGAGGAGTTGAGGGGGACGCGCGGAGGTTGGGGGAGCCCCAGCAATTCCATCCACTTGGATGTCCTGCTCCCCTAGACCAGTGACCCACATTTCTGGGAACAGGGCCACGGAGTCCTGTGGCAGCTCCAGACTGTGAAATGCTATTGGAGCCAGCTCCTTTCTACAGATATTCCAGCTGCCCAGTTGGCTTCTTGAAGCTTTGCAGAGCCTCAGGACGCCAGGAGAGGCAGCCCCACCTCCCACTTCTCTCTCTAGCCTCCCTGCCTCCACTTCATCCCCCTTCCAAGAGGTCCTCTACTTGGGTCATATAACTCCAGCCTCTCGCCAAGAGGATCAACCCCAAATCCACCTTGCATCATGCCCAAAGCCCTTGACAACCCAACCTAACTTGTCAGCCTCCCCTCCTGCCCCCTCACCTGTACACCTCACTCTCCAGGTGTGCTCTTCCCTGAACACACCAGGATCTGCTACTCTGTGCTTTCTGTACAAGTTCTGTCCCCTCTAACGAGAAGACTGCTCTCACCGTCCTCCCCAGCACTCTCACAGTGCACTTGGCCCATGTCCCCACCCTGACCCCACACATGGAAAGCCAAATACAAATAAGCTTTGTCCTTGAGGAGCTCATAGTCCACTAGGAGAAATGGGCCTTGGGACACAATTATAGGAGGGGTCTCTGGAAGAGCCCAGGTGAACTAGCCTTAACTCTGCTTCTGGCAACCTGGGCAGACTCTCTACAGAGGAGGAGATGAGCTGGTCAGTCCCCAGGACTGGTTTGGCAGATAGAGGGAGTAAAAGGCACTGCAAAGCAAGATGCATTCACTCATCCAGCCAACACCTGCTCTGCCCATCTCCATAGGATACTGAGAATGAATGAATGAATGATCAATGAATATGATTATGTGCTTTGCCCATGAGCACTGTGGTTAAGGGCAGTGGAGGGTCTGCTGCCAGCTCCTACTGGACCAGAACTGCACTCCCATCCTAAACACATACCCAAGGTCCCAGCAGGAGGCAGGGGTGCTTATTTTGAGACTACCAATCTTCCCGCTCCACAGCCTTGGTGCAGCTTGCAGCCAGGCCTGAAAAGGAAGTCTCCCAATGGAGACAATTCCTAGCCAGGGAGCCTGGCAAGAGGGATCCCTGAGTGGCAGCAAGCCTTATCCCTTTTTTCTTTTTTCTCTTTTGTTTTTTCCAAGTGAGGTCACAGGAAGCCCTATCCTTTCTTTTCTTTTTTTCTTTTCTTTTTTTTTGAGACAGAGTCTTGCTCTTGTTGCTCAGGCTGGAGTGCAGTGGTGCGATCTCGGCTCACTGCAACCTCGGCCTCCCGGGTTCAAGCAATTTTCCTGCCTCAGCCTCCTGAGTAGCTGAGATTACAGGCGCGTACCACCACATCCAGGTAATTTTCGTATTTTTACAATACAAATACTCGGCTGCCCTATCCCTTTTTAAGACTTTTATGTGGTTAGACAAATGTCTTAGGCTGGGTGTGATGGCTCACGCCTGCAATCCCAGCACTTTGGGAGGCCAAGGCAGGCAGATCACCTGAGGTCAGGAGTTCGAGACCAGCCTGCCCAGCATGGCGAAACCCTGTCTCTACTAAAAATACAAAAATCAGCCAGGCGTGGTGGTGTGCACCTGTAATCCCAGCTACTCAGGAGCATGAGGCAGGAGAATTGCTTGAACCTGAGAGGCAGAGGTTGCAGTGAGCCAAGATCGCACCATCACACTCCCGCCTGGGCAACAGAGCGAGAATCCATCTCAAAAAAAAAAAAAAAAAAAAGGACAAATGTCTTGCAAATAAAAAATCAATCAATTTTTTCCAAAATATGGAGCAGCCATTGGGACGGATAAAATCAGCTGGGCACGATGGCTAAATGCCTGTAATCCCAGTACTTTGGGAGGCTGAGGTCAGAGGATCACTTGAGCCCAGGAGTTCAAGATCAGCCTGGGCAACAAAATGAGACTCCATCTCTACAAAAAAAATAATAAATATGACTGGCTTATGCCTGTAATCCCAGCACTTTGGGAGGCTGAGGCAGGAGGATTGCTTGAGGCCATGAGACAAGCCTGGGGAAACTTGTGAGACCGTGTCTCTACAAAAAATAAAATTAGCTGGGCATGACGGTATGTGCCTGTAGTCCCACTACTTGGGAGGCTGAGGTGGTAGGATCACTTGAGCCTGGGAGGTTGAGGCTGCAGTGAGCCAAGATCTTGCCACTGTACTCCAGCTTGGGCAACAGAGTGAGACTCTATCTCAAAAAAATAAAATAAAATAAAATAAAATACAATAATTAGCCGGGTGTGGTGACACATGCCTGTAGTCTCAGCCACTTGAGAGACTTAGGAGGATCGCATGAAGCCCAGGAAATCAAGGCTACAATGAACTATGATCAGGCCACTGCACTCCAGCCTGGGTGACAGAGACCATGTCTCAAAAAAAAAAAAAATTTCTTTTTAAAAATAATCTTAAAGTGGTGATATGTTTGTTTTGTTTTGTTCATTTGTTTGTATTTGAGATGGAGTCTTGCTCTGTCGCCAGGCTGGAGTAAAGTGGTATGATCTCCACTCACTGCAACCTCCACCTCCCGGGTTCAAGTGATTCTCCTGCCTCAGCCTCCCAAGTAGCTGGGACTACAGACGTGTGCCACCACGCCCAGCTAATTTTTGTATTTTTAGTAGAGACGGGGTTTTACTATGTTGGCCAGGATGGTCTCGATCTCTCGACCTCATGATCCACCTGCCTCGGCCTCTCAAAGTGCTAGGATTACAAGCATGAGCCACTGCGCTGGGCCAAAGTGGTGATATGTTTGTATAAGCATAAAAATGAGAAATGGGCCGGGCATGGTGGCTCACGCCTATAATTCCAGCACTCTGGGAGGCCGAGGCAGGCGGATCACTTGAGCTCAGGAGTCTGAAGCCCTGTCTCTGCAATAAATAAAAAAATTGCTGGGTACGGTGGCTCACGCCTGTAATCCCAACACTTTAGGAGGCCAAGGCGGGTGGATTACCTGAGGTCGGGAGTTTGAGACCAGCCTGACCAACATGGAGAAACCCCATCTCTACTAAAAATACAAAATTAGCCAGGCGTGGTGGTGCATGCCTGTAATCCCAGCTACTCAGGAGGCTGGGGCAGGAGAATTGCTTGAACCCAGGAGGTGGAGGTTGTAGTAAGCCGAGATCAGGCCATTGCACTCCAGCCTGGGCAACAAGAGTGAAACTCTGTCTCAAAAAAAAAAAAAATTAGCCAGGTGTGGTCGAGTGTCAAGTGCGCCTGTAGTCCCAGCTACTCAGGAGGCTGAGGTGGGAAGATCGCTTGAACCCAGGAGGCGTAGGTTGCAGCAAGCTGAGATCGGGCCACTGCACTCCAGCCTGGGCAACAGAGCAGACCCTGTCTCAAAAAACAAAACAAAACAAAACAAAACAAAAAAAGAGGCTGGGCATGGTGGCTCATGCCTGTAATCCTAGCATTTTGGGAGGCTGAGGCGGGCAGATTGCTGGAGCTCAGGAGTTCACGACTAGCCTGGGCAACATGGCAAAACCCCATTTCCACTTAAAAAAAGATACAAAATATTAGCCAGGAGTGGTGATGTGTGCCTGTAGTCCCAGCTACTCGAGAGACTGAGGCAGAACTGCTTGAATCCAGGAGGCGGAGGCTGCAGTGAGCCAAGATCACGCCACTGCACGCCAGCCTGGATGACAGAGTGAGACTCCATCTTCACAAAAAAAAAAAAAAAAAAAAAAAAAAAAAAAGAAAGAAAAAGAAAAGAAAATAAATTACTTGTCCCAAACTGTTAATACTGCTTACCTGGGAAAGAGGAATAGGAGATGGCTAAATTTTTCTTTATTCATTGTAATTTTTTATAAAGATTTTAAAGTGTGTTAAGCATTTCTGAATTCATGAACTCTCTCGATCATTGTACATGCATCTGCTTCATTAGCAAAAAGACAATTATCAGCCTGGTGCGGTGGCTCATGCCTGTAATCCCAGCACTTTGGGAGGCCGAGGCGGGCGGATTGCCTGAGGTCAGGAGTTTGAGGCTAGCCTGGCCAACATGGTGAAACTCAGTCTCTACTAAAAATACAAAAATTAGCTGGGCATGGTGGTGCAATCCTGTAATCCCAGCTACTCGGGAGGCTGAGGCAGGAGAATCACTTGAACCCGGGAGGCGGAGGTTGCAGTGAGCTGAGATCGTGCCATTGCACTCCAGACTGGGCTACAAGAGCGAAACTCTGTCTCAAAAAAAAAAAAAAAAAAAGACAATTATCATTAGATGGGTAGTGCGGTCTGTGAAGTTTTTGGACCAGAATAAGGGAGGCTCTAAGCCAGGGATCTGTGATGTACTTTTCAGTTGCAGGATCTCACTGATTCTATGCAATGATCTTATAGTATTGGTACTATTAGTATTCCCATTCTCGCGAGGATAAAATGGAAAGAAGCCCAGAGAGTTTAAGGGACTTGCCCAAGGCCGCACAGAAAATCAGAGGGCAGAGTTAAGAACCCAGCGCTCTTTCCTTGAAAGCCAATCCCCACCTCAGGTTGGGCACTGAGGGACCTGACCTTTGGTTTTAATGTAGAGGGGCTGCTTCCCCTGGAGGGAGATGGGCAGTGAGGAGAGCAGCTCCTACTATTTATCAACCAAGACCTTTGCTCTAGAAAGGACTAGACAGAGTAATTTATTAACATCAGCACTGACCAAGATAAATATCAGTCAAATAGCCAGCCCTGAAGAAAGAGATTAGGGGCTGGAACACTGGAAACTTCAGGAGCTCTGATGGGCTCCCGTCTCTTCCCACTACTCTAATCCTTCCTGCCTGTGGGCCTCAGTTTCCCCATCTGTCAAATGAGCAGGGTGGTGGAGCCCATCCCTAAAGCTGTTTTCTACAGGTAAAATCCAAGAAGGAGCTTGTCAAAGATCTCAGAGGAGGGTTTGAACTCCAAGCCAGCATCCCCAAGGGTACATCTGCAAGAGTACAAATGTCACTTTCTCAGTGAAATTACAATGTTCTCCTACCCTTGACCTCCCCAAGCCCTCTCTTCCTGCTCTCTATCTTGTTCCAGAGCACGTTCTAAAACGCTATACTAGGATTAGCCCAGTGGCTCATGCCTATAATCCCAGCACTTTGGGAGGCTGACGCAAGAGGGAAGGATTGCTTGAACCCAGGAGTTGTTTTTTTTTTTTTGTTTTGTTTGAGATGGAGTCTCAGTCTGTCGTCCAGGCTGTAGTGCAGTGGCGTGATCTGGGCTCACTGCAACCTCCGCCTCCCAGGTTCAAGCAATTCTCCAGCCTCAGCCTCTCAAGTAGCTGGGACTACAGGCATGTGCCACCACATCCAGCTAATTTTTTATTTTTAGTAGAGATGGGTTTTCACCATGTTAGCCAGGCTGGTCTCGAACTCTTGACCTCAGGTGATCCTCCTGCCTCAGCCTCCCAAAGTGCTGGGATTACAGACATGAGCTACCACACTTGGCCTTTTTTTTTTTTTGTATTTTTTTGAGATGGAGTTTCACTCTGTTGCCCAGGCTGGAGTGCAGTGGCGTAATCTCAGCTCACTGCAACCTCCACCTCCTGGGTTCAAGCGATTCTCTTGCCTCAGCCTCCCGAGTAGCTGGGACTACAGGTGCGTGCTACCACACCCGGCTAATTTTTGTATGTTTTAGTAGAGACGGGGTTTCACCATGTTGGTCAGGCTGGTCTCGAACTCCTGACCTCAAGTGATCTGCCTGACTTGGCCTCCCAAAGTGATGGGATTACAGGCATGATCCACCATGCCCGGCCGAACCCAGGAGTTTGAGACCAGCCTGGGAAACATAGCAAGACCTCATCTCTACTAAAAATTAAAAACAAAAAAAAACACTATACTTTTTGGCTTATTATGTGCTTTGTTTATTGTCAGTCTCTAAACTGGAGGCAGCCCTAGCGGGGCAGAATCCTTGTCTGTTCTGTTGTATCCCTGCTGTATCCCCTATGCTTGGAGCAGTGCTGGGCACATGGTGAGAATGCAGTCCAAGTTTGAGAAATGAATGAAAGAGGAGCTAAGACATTCTTGCATGAAAATGATGAAAGCTGAAAAGTATGAAACAAAAGAAATGGTAGACCTTAGGCTGGGCGTGGTGGCTCACGCCTGTAATCCCAGCACTTTGGGAAGCCGAGGCGGGTGGATCACAAGGTCAGGAGTTCAAGACCAGCCTGGCCAAGATGGTGAAACCCCGTCTGTACTAAAAATACAAAAAATTAGCTGGGTGCGGTGGCAGGCGCCTGTAATCCCAGCTACTTGGGAGGCTGAGGCAGGAGAATCGCTTGAACTCAGAGGGCAGAGGTTGCAGTGAGCCGAAATCGCGCCACTGCACTCCAGCCTGGCTGACAGAATGAGACTCCGTCTCAAAAAAAAAAAAAAAGGTAGACCTTGACCCAGAGTGACTTCACTCAGGGATCAGGGGTCCTTTCCATCCTTAACACCAACAGCAGAACTAGTGCTTATGAGCACAAGCTCTGGACAAATCCAGGTTTTGATCCTAGCTCAGCTTCATCTTTCTTTTTTCTTCTATTTTTTTTTTCTTTTTTCGAGACAGGGTCTCACTCTGTCACCCAGGCTGGAGTGCAGTGACACAATCATGGCTCACTGCATCCTCTATCTCCCAGACTCAAATGATCCTCCCACTTCAGCCTCCCAAGTAGCTGAGACCACAGGTGAGCACCACCACGTCTGGCTAATTTTTGTTGTTGTTTGAGATGGAGTCTTACTCTGTTGCCCAGGCTGGAGTGCAATGGCACGATCTCGGCTCACTGCAACTTCCACCTCCCAGGTTCAAGGGATTCTCCTGCCTCAGCCTCCGGAGTAGTTGGGACTATAGACATGTGTCACCATGCCTGGCTAATTTTTTTTTTTTTTCTTGAGACGAAGTCTCGCTCTTGTTCCCCAGGCTGGAGTGCAATGGTACGATCTCAGCTCACTGCAACCTCCGCCCCCTGGGTTCAAGTGATTCTCCTGTCTCAGTCTCCCAAGTAGCTGGGATTACAGGCATCTGCCACCACGCCCAACTAATTTTTGTATTTTTAGTAGAGACAGGGTTTCACCACGTTGGCCAGGTCGAACTCCTGACCTCAGGTGATCTGCCCGCCTCGGCCTCCCAAAGTGCTGGGATTACAGGTGTGAGCCAACGCACCCGGCATGTTTTTTTGTTTTGTTTTGTTTTGTTTTGTTTTTTTGATACGGAGTCTCCCTCTGTTGCCCAGGCTGGAGTGCAGTGGCGCGATCTTGGCTCACTGCAACCTCCAGCTCCCCAGTTCAAGCGATTCTCCTGCCTCAGCCTCCAGAATAGCTGGGAATACAGGAACACACCACCATGCCTAATTTTTTTTTTTTTTTTTTTTTGAGACAGAGTCTTGCTCTATCACCCAGGCTGGAGTGCACTGGTGCGATCTCAGCTCACTGCAACCTCCACCTCCCTGGTTTAAGCGATTCTCCTGCCTCAGCCTCCAGAGTAGCTGGGATTACAGGCGCACACACCATGCCCAGCTAATTTTTGTATTTTTAATAAAGACGGGGTTTCACCATGTTGGCCAGGCTGGTCTTGAATACCTGACCTCATGATCCGCCTGCCTGGGCCTCCCAAAGTGCTAGGATTACAGGTGGGAGTCACCAGGCCTGGCCTGGCTAATTTTTGTGTTTTTAGTAGAGATGGGGTTTCACCATGTTGGCCAAGCTGGTCTTGAACTCCTGGCCTCAGGTGATCCACCCGCCTCAGCCTCCTAAAGTGCTGGGATTACAGGCATGACCCACTGTGCCTGGCCAAATTTTTGTATTTTTTATAGAGACAGGATCTCGCCATGTTGCCCAGGCTGGTCTCAAACTCCTGGGTTCAAGCAATCCTCCCACCTTGGCCTACCGAAGTGTTGGGATTACAGGCGTGAGCAATGGTGCCTGGCCCAGGTCCATCTGATTTCAAAGCCCACACTCCATCCCCACCCCAGCAGCCTCATTGCCCCCAAACCTCACAGGCCAGAAGGGCTGCTGCTGGCCCTACTAGTGACTCTGGAGAGATATGGGGCAGCCTGAGGGGCAGCAGGACAGAGTGTTCTCAGGTATCCAATGTGGAATTAAGGTATAAGTAACTGCAAGACAGTCCTTGAGGGACTTGATAAACATTAATTCAAGTGGCTTCATAGCAATCCTGCCGAAAACACCAACATCCCCACTTTACAGAAAAGGAAACTGAGGCTGACGGAGGTTCAGCAACTCATCCAGGGTCACTGAGTGAGGGGCAGCAGGCTGACTCTGAGACCCATGCTCCTTTTACAGCCTCTGGGTGTTTGCCACACAAATGGTTTTACCACCAATCCATTCTGTCCCTTCCCCAATCTTGATATTTTTATCTGGAAAACAAAGGGCTCATAAAAGATGATCTTCCCAGAGCCCTTTGAGCCTCAACATTATGTGGGTCACATGCAGAAATTGCTTGAAACATAGGCTAGGGGTTAAGGAGCAACACTTACTGCATGTTCGTCAAGTGCTAGACACTTCACAACCACGGAATCTTTTTTTTTTGTAGACGGAGTCTCGCTCTGTCACCCGGGTTGGAGTGCAGTAGCGTGATCTCGGCTCACTGCAACCTCTGTCTCCCGGGTTCAATTGATTCTCCTGCCTCAGCTTCCTAGTAGCTGGGATTACAGGGGTGAGCCATCACACCCAGCTAATTGTATTTTTAGTAGAGACACGTTTTCACCAACATGGTGAAATTTTTGTACTTTTTTTTTTTTTTTTTTTTTTTTGAGACAGAGTCTCACTCTTGTCGCCCAGGCTGGAGTGCAGTGGCAGGATCTCGGCTCACTGCAAGCTCCGCCTCCTGGGTTCACGCCATTCTCCTGCCTCAGCCTCCTGAGTAGCTGGGACTACAGGCGCCTGCCACCGCGCCCAGCTAATTTTTTGTATTTTTAGTAGAGATGGGGTTTCACCGTGTTAGCCAGGATGGTCTCGATCTCCTGACCTCGTGATCCACCGCCTCGGCCTCCCAAAGTGCTGGGATTACAGGCGTGAGCCACCGCGCCCGGCCATTTTTGTACTTTTTATAGAGACAGGATCTCGCCGTGTTGCCAAGCTGGTCTTGAACTGCTGACCTCAAGTGATCTGCCTGCCTCGGCCTCCCAAAGTGCTGGGATTACAGGCATGAGCCACCATACCCGACCAACCACAGCATCTTTAATCCTCAACAACCCTATGAGATACATCCTGATTACTCCCATTTTACAGATGAGGAACCCGAGGCTTAAAGAGTCCTGAGGTCACCCCACCTACAAAGTCTGAGTTAGATCTGTTAGTGCCAGGCAAACTCTAGGCTTTTCCCACGGTGTCAGCTTTATCCCTAATTATTGGGCAGTCTAGGTGGGGCGCTTATGCCACTCCTCTTTCCCAGCTGTCCAAAAGCCCCACTGCTCTGTGCTGTAACATCTCATGGCAGGCACTATCAGAACTTTGCAGCTTCATTCCTGGGCTGCAGGGCAGGAGGGATGGTTGCTTCCTTTTCACAGGTTGGGGGAGGGGGAACAGGTGGCCTCACTTCTTTGGTAAATATTCCTTGACCATACACAGTCCTGAGCCCTCTGAGGGTGGGAGGCTGGGGAAACAGAGAAAAATGAGATCATGGTCTAGTGAGAGAGACAGACAAGCACCAAGTCATAACTGTGCAGGGTCATATATGCAGAGATGGGGGAAGTACAGGGCTGTGGGGACCAAGGAGTGAGGGGCTGCCCAGGGCCAGTCAGGGAGGCCAAGCCCTAGCTCAGCCCAGAGCAGGGCCCAAACAAAAGCCCAGGCTGAGAGCACATGGCCCAGCCAGACTCCCACTCCCAGGAGGCCACCAGTTGGGTGCAAAGTGCATGGCGCATTGGCAGGCCTGGGTCCCAGACCTGGTGCTGCCACGGCACAGCAGGGAGGGTGACCTTGGACAACTCCCATTCCCTCTCAGGTCCGTTTCCCCACCTGTACAGTTCGAGGTGGAGGAACAAAGGGTCTGTGCAGCCATGGCCCCTGGGGATCCCCCACTGCTCCCCTGCCATCATCTCTTTCCCACAGAACTTCCCGACGGAGGAGCTGACTACCAGAAGCCCCCAGTGGGTGTTAAATCACAAGCTACGCCTGGGAATGGGCCACTCCTCCTGTCTTCTGCCCTCTCCCACTCTCCAGGGCCCAGTACCTGCCCTTCTCACCATCTTTCATCAGGTCCCCATCACAGCCCGGTCCCAACCAGGACAAAGACCCTACCCATCCCTTTCTCACCTCCCCCATTCTTTGCCCAGACCCCTCCCTAGGCCTTGATCCTGCCCCGCCTCTAACCCCCAGATTCCAAGCGAGGAGTCTCAGCCCCTCCCCCACGACCCAGTCCCTGGCCCCCGCGCCTGCACCCCACCCCGCGCGCGTCTATCCCTGCCTGGCCGGGCTCTCACCGCGCCGCAGCTGCAGACGCAACGTCCCCAGCGCGAGGCCCCGGGCCCCCCAGCAGCCGCCGCGCCGTCACAGAGATGCTGCACAGCCGCGGAGCCATGTTGGAGCCGCAAAGGTTGCAGGAAGGCCCCGCCCCCAAGCCCTGGTGGCGGAGGCGGGGCGCGAATAAACTCCACCCCTCCGGCTCGCCCGCCCCCTCACTCACCCGGTCAGGTGGGCGTTTCCTGTGGGCGTCTCCAACTCCGCAGGTGCTGGACGGAAGTCAGGGTTCTAATCCTCTGCGCGCTCTGCGACCTTGGCAAGCCCTTTGCCCACTCTGGGCCTCAGGATCCACCTCGGTAAAATGGGAGCGTGGAACAATAATACCAAGGGTTCTTTTTTTTTTTTTTTTTTTTTTTGAGACGGAGTCTCGCTCTGTCGCCCAGGCTGGAGCGCAGTGGCGCGATCTCGGCCCACTGCAAGCTCCGCCTCCTGGGTTCACGCCATTCTCCTGCCTCAGCCTCCCGAGTAGCTGGAACTACAGGCGTCTGCCACCACGCCCAGCTAATTTTTTGTATTTTTAGTAGAAACGGGGTTTCACCGTGTTAGCCAGGATGGTCTCGATCTCCTGACCTCGTGATCTGCCTGCCTCGTGCTCCCAAAGTGCTGGGATTACAGGCGTGAGCCACCATGCCCAGCCTACCAAGGGTTCTTAACAAGGCTGTCCGGGATGTGCAGCAGAGGGTCAGTGTAACCACCCCATGGGTTCATTTTGCCCGTTTCCCAGACAGCGGATTTATCAAGACAGAGGAATTGCAATAAGAGTTTAATTCATGCAGAGCCGGCTGAATGGGAGACCGGAGTTTTATTATTACTCAAATCAGTCTCCCTGAAAATTCGGAGACTGGGTTTTATTAAGGATAATTTGGTGGGTAGGGGCCAGAGAGTGGAGAGTGCTGATTGGTCAGGTCGGAGATGCAATCATAGGGAGTGGAAGCCGTCCTCTTGTGCTGAGTGGATCTCTGGGTGGGGGCCACAAAACCGGATGATCCGGTTTCTTAATCTGTGTATCGCCAGCGGATCCATTGAGTGCAGGATCGGAAAAATATCTTGAGCACCAATCTTAGGTTTTACAGTAGTGATGTTATCCCTAGGAGCAACTGGGGAGGTTTAGAATCTGTGGCCACTACCTGCATGACTCCTAAACCGTAATTTCTAATCTCGTGGCTAATTTGTTAGTCTTACAAAAGCAGTCTGGTCCCCAGGCAAGAAAGGGGTTTATTTTGGGAGAGGGCTGTTATCTTTGTTTCAAAGTTGAACTATAAATTTGCTGCCGGGCATGGTGGCTCATGCCTGTAATCCCAGCATTTTGGGAGGCAAAGGTGGATCAGAAGTTTAGGTCAAGAGTTCAAGACCAGCCTGGCCAACAGGGTGAAACCCCGTCTCTACTAAAAATACAAAAAAATTAGCCAGGCATGGTGGCGGGCACCTGTAATCCCAGTTACTCGGGAGGCTGAGGCAGGAGAATCTCTTGAACCCTGGAGGCAGAGGTTGCAGTGAGCCGAGATCGCGCCACTGCACTCCAGCCTGGGCAACAAGAGCGAAACTCCGTCTCAAAAAACAAACAAAAAGACTGTAAGTTTGGCCTATGCCCAGGAATGAATATGGACAGTTTGGGGGTTAGAAGCAAAATGGAGTCGGTTAGGTCAGATCACTTTCACTGTCATAATTTTCTCACTGTTAAAATTTCTGCAAAGGGGTTGCATCAGTAAGCCCCCTGAAATTGTATACAACGTTACGTGCTCCTCTGTGGTGCATTCTCTGGGGAAAGGCATTCACATGCCAGGTTTATCACCATCAAAGAAACAAACTTCCTTACAAGTGAAGACAGGGGCAAGGCTGTCAGCTGCAGACACTTTATCTCCACCATCTCCTTTCCCCTTTTCATCCCCCTTTGACTTCTCTGCCTGAAAATCCTGGGGCCTCTTTCTGCCCTGCCCAGCTCTTTTGCCCGCCCTCTAAACTAATCCCTTCTCAGCCCACAATCCCCCAGATCACAGACATTGGCAGGGGTGGAGAGCCTGCAGACCCCACAGGGGGCAGGGGCTCTATCCACTTCCAAAGGGGCAGGGACAGCTCCCCAAAAGAATGTCCACCCACTGACTAGTGGTTGCCTCCTGTTATGCTTGGCATGGGGGGAGTGGAGGCCAGGCCATGATTGCACCACTGCGCTCCAGCCTGGGCAACAGAGCAAGACCCAGTCTCTATAAAAAAATAATAATAATTTTAAGATTAGGACCACGTGTGGTGGCTCATGCCTGTAATCCCAGCACTTTGGGAGGCCAAGGCAGGAGGATCTATGAAAATTCAAAAAATTAGCTGAGCATGGTAGCACACACCTGTAGTCCCAGCTACTCAGGAGGCTGAGGCAGGAAAATCACTTGAGGTAGGAGGTCCAGGCTGTAGTGAGTTATGATTTTTTAATTAAATAAATAAATCAGGCTGGGTGCGGTGGCTCATGCCAGTAAATCCAGCACTTTGGGAAGCCAAGGTGGGTGGATCACCTGAGGTCAGGAGTTCGAGACCAGCCTGGCCAACATGGTGAAACCCCATCTCTACTAAAAATACAAAAATTAGGCCGGGCGCAGTGGCTCATGCCTGTAATCCCAGCAGTTTGGGAGGCCAAGGCAGGGGAATCACCTGAGGTCAGGGGTTCGAGACCAGCCTGATCAATATGATGAAACCCCATCTCTACTAAAAATATAAAAATTAGCCGGATGTGGTGGCATGTGCCTGCAATCCCAGCTACTCAGGAGGCTGAGGCAGGAGAATCACTTGAACCCAGGAGGCAGAGATTTTAGTGAGCCAAGATCGCGCCATTGCACTCCAGCCTGGGAAACAAGAGCGAAACTCCGTCTCAACAAAACAAACAAATAAATAAAATAAAAAATAAAAATACAAAAATTAGCCAGGCATGGCATGGTGACGCACACCTGTAACCCCAGCTACTCCGGAGACTGAGTCAGGAACATGGCTTAAACCCAGGAGGCAGAGGTTGCAGTGAGCCAAGATCGCGCCACTGCACTCCAGCCTGGGTGATAGAGATTCCATCTCGAAAAAAAAAAAAAAATCAAAGTCAGTATGATCTTAGCAGAGTCCCCAGTCAAAGCCACTCAGGAAAAACCCAGGTGGGTTGATGGAAGCACAGCAAATGGTGTCATGTGGTGGGAGCAGCTCTTTCCTTAGGAACCCAGCGTGGCAGACTGACTGTGGAGTGGTGGAAGTGACCACCTCCGCCAACCTGACTTTGGACCTGAGCTTCAAAGGATGAGTAGGAGTCTGCCAGGAGAGAGGGAAGGACCAGCGGAAACTCAGAGGAAGCAATGTGTACTCAGTATGTGAAGGGGCTGCCAGAGGCCAGGCGCGGTGGCTCACGCCTGTAATCCCAGCACTTTGGGAGGCCGAGGCAGGTGGATCAATTAAGGCCAAGAGTTTGAGACCAGTCTGGCCAACATGGCAAAACCCGATCTCTATTAAAAATACAAAAAGTTAGCCAGTCATGGTAGCCACACCTGTGGTCCCAGCTACTCTGGAGGCTGAAGTATGAGAATGGCTTGATCCCAGGAGGCAGAGGTTGCAGTGAGTGGAGATTGTGCCACTGCACTCCAGCCTGGGTGACAGCAATACTCTGTCTCAAAAAAAAAAAAAAAAAAAAAAAAATGAGGGGTGTGTGTTGAGGGCTCTTCCAGGAAGAAAGCACAGTTGAATATAATGAATGGGTGGAGATTATGTGATGGCAGCCTCTCATTCAGTACAGGAATAATTTTGTTTCTCTTTTTTTTTTTTTTTTTTTTGAGACAGGGTCTCACTCTGTCGCCCAGGCTGGAGTGCAATGGCGTGATCTCAGCTCACTGCAACCTCCACCTCCTAGGCTCAAGCGATTATCCTGCTTTAGCCTCCCGCATAGCTGGGATTACAGGCTTGCATTACCACATCCAGCTAATTTTTGTATTTTTAGTAGAGATGGGATTTCACCACATTGGCCAGGCCGGTCTTGAACTCCTGACCTCAAATGATCCACCCACCTCAGCCTCCCAAAGTGCTGGAATTACAAGTGTGAGCCACCGCACCTGGCTGGAATAATTTTCTAACAATGGAATGGGCTGCCTTGGTGGCATGTCATTGAATTGTGTCAACAGAGGCCGAGTAGCAGCACGTTGGCTATGTGGTAGAGGGCATTTGGCAGTCAGGCCACAGCAAGCTGGACCCAAGGACAGGGAGGAGCCGGCCTTGGTGGTTTAGGGTGAGAGGCTCTCACCAAAGCCTTGGCATTCCTGGCTGCCTCACACTGCCTCCCAGGTGAGGAGAATGAGGGAGGACTGACCTGCAGCCTCCTCCTGTGGGTCTTAGCATTTCTAAGAAGGGTTTTCCATCTCTGTCCAGCCAAATAGGGCAGGAGGGTGAAAAAAGGTGGTGCTGGGAGCATGCTTCCACCCCTGCCTGGGAGAGATGGGATATGGGCATCCCTCCCCAACCCACATGAACCACAGTGTGGCCGCTGACTAGAAGGGCAACCTCAAGGCCCCTACTCCCACCTCAGCTAGGGCAACCACATATCCCAGTTTATCCTGGACTTTCTCAGTTTTAGCACTGAAAGTCCTCCATCCCAGAAAACCCCTCAGTCCTGGACAAGCCAGAACCTTTGGTCACCCCAATTACGGCCCTAGTTCTCTCCCCAGGAGATATACCCACTCCATCCCAGAATCTTTTCCTTGCTTAACTAAATCTATTTACCCTCCTTTTTTTTTTTTTTTTTTTTTTTTTTGAGATGGAGTCTCGCTCTGTTGCCCAGGCTGGAGTGTAGTGGCGCAATCTCGGCTCACTGCAAGCTCTGCCTCCCAGGTTCAGGCCATTCTCCTACCTCAGCCTCCCGTCTAGCTGGGACTACAGGTGCCCACCACCACGCCCAGCTAATTTTTTTTTGTATTTTTAGTAGAGACGGGGTTTCACTGTGTTAGCCAGGATGGTCTCGATCTCCTGACCTCGTGATCCGCCCGCCTTGGCCTCCCAAAGTGCTGGGATTACAGGCGTGAGCCACCGTGCCTGGCCCTATTTACCCTCCTTGAAAGGGAGCTGGGGTCTGGGCGAGGTAGCTCACGCCTGTAATCCCAGCACTTTGGGAGGCCGAGGTGGGTGGATCACCTGAGGTCAGGAGTTCAAGGCCAGCCTGGCCAATGTGGTGAAACCTCATCTCTACCAAAAATACAAAAATTAGCCGGGTGTGGTGGCAGGTGCCTGTGGTCCCAGCTACTCGGGAGGCTGAGGCAGGATAATCAGTTGAACCTAGGAGGTGGAGGTTGCAATGAGCCAAGATCATGCCACTACACTCCAGCCTGGGCAACACAGCAAGACTCCGTGTCAAAAAAACAAAACAAAACAAAAAAACAAAAGAAAGAAAGACAGAAAGGAAAGGAAAAGGAAAAGGAAAGGAAGAAAGAGAGCAGGGATGGGGTCCAAGCTCAGTGGCTCACACATGTAATCGCAGCACACTGGGAGGCCCAGGCAGGAGGATTACTTGAGGCCAGGATTTCAAGACCAACCTGGGCAACATAGTGAGACCCTTGTCTCTACTAAAAATTTTTAAAAATGAACTGGGTATGGTAATGTGTGCCTGTAGTCCCAGCTATTCAGGAGGCTGAGGTGGGAGCACTGCTTGAGCCCAGGAGTTGGAGGCTGCAGTGAGCTATGGTCATGCCACTGCACTCCAGCCTGAACAACAGAACAAGACGTTCACTCTAAAAGAAAAGGGGTATGCCGGGCACGGTGGCTCACGCCTGTAATTCCAGCACTTTGGGAGGCCAAGGTGGGCAGATCACCTGAGGTCAGGAGTTCGAGACTAGCCTGACCAATGTGGAGAAACCCCGTCTCTACTAAAACTACAAAATTAGCTGGGCATGGTGGCACGTGCCTGTAATCCCAGCTACTCGAGAAGCTGAGGCAGGAGAATCGCTTGAACCTGGGAGGCGGAGGTTGTGGTGAGCCCAGAGTGCGCTATTGCACTCCGGCCTGGGCAACAAGAGCAAAACTCCATCTCAAAAAAAAAAAAAAAAGAAAAAGAAAAAAAAAGAGTGAGGGTGGAACTGGGCTCTCTTTGTGGCACTCAGTGACATACAATGCTGGTTAACTGGGCACCTGATGTGAACTGTCCTTACCCACAGACCATTCATTCTGTGTAGCAAACCAGTTGCTGTATTCTGGTCAGCAAACCAGTTAGGATAAAATTCCATCAATAGGCCGGGTGGGATAGCTCATGCCTGTAATCCCACTTTGGGAGGCCGAGGTGGGCAGATAGCTTTGAGCTCAGGAGTTCGAGACCAACCTGGGCAACATGACAAAACCCCATCTCTACAAAAAATGCAAACATTAACTGGGTGTGGTGGTGCACACCTGTAGTCCCAGCAATTCAGGAGGCTGAGGTGGGAGGATGGCTTGAATCCAGGAGGCGGAGGTTGCAGTAAGCCAATATCATATCACTGCACTCCAGCCTGGGTGACAGAGTCAGACCCTGTCTCCAAAAAAAAAAAAAAAAAAAAAATTCCACCAGTAAAAATGTGGCTGAGCACAGTAGCTCACACCTATAATCCCAGCACTTTGGGAAGCTGAGGCAGGAGGATCACTTGAGGCCAGAGTTTAAGACCAGCCTGGGTAACATAGGAAGACCCCATCTCTATAAAAATAATTTTAAAATATTAGCTGGTGGTGTGTGCCTGTAGTCCCAGCTACTCGGGAGGCTGAGGCCAGAGTATTGCCTAAGCCCAAGAAGTCAAGGCTTCAGTGAGCCATGATCATGCCATGCCACTCCAGCCTGGGCAACAGAGGGAGATCTTGTCTTTAAAAAAAAAAAAAAGAAAAAAAGAAAAATTCCACAAATAGAGATTTAGACAATTTCCAATTACTATGGAATAAATTACCCCAAATCTTAGCAGCTTGAAACAATCAGCATTTATGATCTCACACAGTTCCTGAGGGTCAGGAATTCTGGAGTGGGTGGTTAGCTGGGGCGGTTCCTTCTCTGGGGGTCTCACAAGGCTGTAATCAAGATATTGGCTTGGGTTAGTAGTCATCTGAAGACTTGACCAAGGCTGGAGAATCCCCTTCCACGGTGAGTCATTCACATGCCTGGCAAGTTAGCGCTGGTAGTTGGCAGGAGACCTCAGTTCCTTGCTACATGGGCTTCTCCAGAGGGCTGCTTGAGTGTCTTCACCACATGGCGGCTGGCTTCCCCCAGAGCAAGTGATCCAGTAAGGTGAAACCTTCAAGGACTTTTGTGATCTGACCTTGGAAGTCACACTGTCGTTTTTGTACATCCCATTGGTTGGACATGGAGCCCTCCTCTGCAGGAGTCAGGGTCTTGTTCTGTTGCCCAGGCTGGAGTGCAGTGGCACAATCATAGCTCACTGAAGTCTCCAACTCCTGGGCTCAAGCAGTCCCCCTGACTCAGCCTCCTGAGTCACTAGGACTGCAGGCATGCGCCATCCATGCTCAGAATATAAATATCAATACGTGAGCAGGGCTGCATGTCTAACCAATAGGTGTAAATATCAACATGCGAGAGTCACGTGGGACATCCTGGAGGCTGGCTAGCACAATTAGCTTTTGTACTAGGCCCAACTTAATTATTAGGGTTGGACTCAGTTCTTCAAGCTGTCTTCTACAAGGCCTCCCCAGAGTCCCCACTGTCCTCTGTCCTAGGATCTCTCTCTCTCTGAAGTTCCTTTCTGCCCACCACTATGTCTGTGACATCTTTTTCTCCTGAACATGTCTCCCACCCACCCCTCCTCTCCCTGCAGAGAGCCGACCCCTCCTCTCCTGCCCTCTTCCCTTCCCAAAGCTGCCCTCATGGAATCCACCTTCATAACTCTTTGCCGAAGTCCGTTATCCAATCTGCAAAACGAAATGAGAGGAGCCAGGGACAAAGACAGTTGGGCAGAGCCAGGCAGAGAAGAACAGGCAGGTTCATAAGTGTAAAATATTGACAAACCTGCCATCATCCATTCCCTCAGACAAATAGATCATCACCAAATGGGCTGCAGACGAGCAAAGAGACAAATTACCCAGCTGTGGCAGTGTCACCTGCTCCTTATTAATGGGCTTTTATGCTCAGACCCAACTGCTGTCTGAGAACTGTACCCTTCAGTTCTTATGGGACCCCAAACAGGAGGGAAAGGGACAAGAAAGCTTTTATGTCTCACCTGGGGCAAGAGCCACAGAGCTAAGTCCCAGCCTTTCTGGACTATGCATCATATACAGATATGAATCATGTGCCTTTGACAGAGTGCCACATAAAAACATTAACAGGCCAGGCGAGGTGGCTCACGCCTGTAATCCCAGCACTTTGGGAGGCTAAGGCAGGTGGATCACTTGAGGTCAGCAGTTCAAGACCAGCCTGACTAACATGGTGAAACTCCATCTCTACTAAAAATACAAAAATTAGCCAGGTGTGGTGGTGTGCGCCCGTAATCCCAGCTACTCAGGAGGCTGAGGCAGGAGAATCGCTTGAACCCAGGAGGCAGAGGTTGCAGTGAGCCGAGATGGAGGCAGAGGTTGCAGTGAGCCGAGATCATGCCACTGTACTCCAGCCTGGGCAACAGAGCGAGACTCTGACTCAAAAAAAAAATGAACAAAGGCCGGGCGCGGTGGCTCACGCCTGTAATCCCAGCACTTTGGGAGGCCGAGGCGGGTGGATCATGAGGTCAGGAGATCGAGACCATCCTGGCTAACAAAGTGAAACCCCATCTCGACTAAAAATACAAAAAATTAGCCGGGCGCGGTGGCGGGCGCCTGTAGTCCCAGCTACTCGGGAGGCTGAGGCAGGAGAATGGCGTGAACCCGGGAAGCGGAGCTTGCAGTGAGCCGAGATTGCGCCACTGCAGTCCGCAGTCTGGCCTGGGCGACAGAGCGAGACTCCGTCTCAAAAAAAAAAAAAAAAAAAGAACAAAAAGTTCCACTCCGCGTATAGATTATAAATAATACAAATGCTAGGGGAAAAAATTAACCTGTTAAGTATAGAACAATTTCAAAGCTGGTGGAGTGGATTATAAACTGTGTTTATGCTATTGCCACAAGGTGGCGCCACTTTAGCAAGGAAGCAAATGCCCACATCCTGTCATTACTGAGCAAATCACACGGTTGTTGACGTGCTTGGGACACTAGCAATTGTTTTTTTGTGCTATTATTTGGCCAGACACTGTTATTATAAACCACTTTAAAAGGCTATAACAAGACTAGGCGCGGTGGCTCATGCCTGTAATCCCAGCACTTTGGGAGGCCAAGAGAGGCGGATCACAAGGTCAGGAGTTCGAGACCAGCCTGGCCAACATGGTGAAACCTGGTCTCTACTAAAAATACAAAAATTAGCTGGGTGTGGTGGCACATGCCTGTAATCCTAGCTACTCAGGAGGCTGAGGCAGGAGAATTGCTTGAATCCAGGAGATGGAGGTTGCAATGAGCTGAGATTGTGCCACTGCACTCCAGCCTGGGTGACAGAGCAAGACTCTATCTCAGAAAAAACAAAAACAAACAAATAAGAAAAAGGATACAACAACATCATTCAAGCATTCCTGAAGGAGAGGGGCTAGTGCTGAAAAGCATGTCCTCAAATCAACACCTTTGGAGTGGATATTGGACATGATGAGACACCATGAAGAAGACCAAACCACCTCCATGACAGGTGGTGCTGTTAATTTAGGAGACTGCCCGCAGGTACAGATAATGCTGCAAAGATACAAAGCAGGATCAAAAGCAAAAATGTGGTCAGATGGTTGTGCAGATTTATGAGTTATGTGAGTGCATTTCATCTCCTACTCGTATTCTTGGAACACAAAGTTTTGAATCATGTTAAGTTTACAGCATGGCATCCTTCTTGTAAAATATGACATTTAAATGAGGGAGGCTGGCCAGGAGTGGTGGCTCACGCCTATGATCCCAACACTTTGGGAGGCTGAGGTGGGTGGATCACCTGAGGTTAGGAGTTTGAGACCAGCCTGGACAACGTGGTGAAACCCGGTCTCTACTAAAAATACAAATATTACCCAGACTTGGTGGCCCATGCCTGTAATCCCAGCTACTTGGGAGGCTGAGGCAGAAGCAGCACTTGAACCTGGGAGGTGGAGGTTGCAGCGAGCCGAGATGGTGCCACTGCACTCCAGCCTGGGTGACAGAGCTAGACTCTGTCTCAAAAAACAAACAAACAAATAAATATGACATTCCTGGTCCTCCCCAGCATAAATATGGCCACTTGAGTCCACTCCTGCAAGCAGGGAGCTATGGGTTGAATTGTGTTTCCTCAAAAAGAGATGTTGAAGTCCTAACCCCTAGTACCTCGGAATGTGACCTTATTTGGAAATAGGGTCTTGAAAGAAGTAATAAAATTAAAATTAGGTCATTAGGGTGAGCCCTAATCCAGTATGACTAATGTCCTTGTGAACAGGGGACATTTAGACTGGGTGCAATGGCTCACACCTGTAATCTTAGCTCTGTAGGAGGCCGAGGTGGGCAGATCATTTGAACCCAAGAGTTCAAGACCAGCCTGGGCAACATGGCAAAACTCTTATCTCTACAAAAATGCAAAAATTGCCGGGCGTGGTGGCTCATGCCTATAATCCCAGCACTTTGGGAGGCCAAGGCAGAAGGATCACCTGAGGCTGGGAGTTCGAGACCAGCCTGACCAACGTGGAAAAACCCCGTCTCTACTAAAAATACAAAATTAGCCAGGCATGGTGGTGCATGCCTGTAATCCCAGCTACTTGGGAGGCTGAGGCAGGAGAATCGCTTGAACCCAGAAGGCGGGTTGCAGTGACCTGAGATCGTGCCACTGCACTTCAGCCTGAGCAACAAGAGCGAAACTCCGTCTCAAGAAAAAAAAAAAAAGAGCATTCAGTAACAATTCAATAAATTTGTGCTTTTAGGATGGATTTACTATTTGAAATTCCATTTCTTTTTTTTTTTTTTTTTTTTTGAGATGGAGTCTCACTCTGTTGCCCAGGCTGGAGTGCGATGGCGCGGTCTCGGCTCACTGCAACCTCTGCCTCGTGGGTTCAAACGATTCCCCTGCCTCAGCCTCCTAAGTAGCTGGGATTACAGGCATGTGCCACCATGCCTGGCCTCCATTTCTTTTTTAAAATTATTTTTATTTCTTTTGGGTGGGCAGGGTAGCTCATGCCTGTAATCCCAGCACTTTGGGAGGTGGAGGCAGGCAGATCACTTGAGGTCAGGAGTTTGAGACCATCCTGGCCAACATGGTGAAATCCAGTGTCTACTAAAAATACAAAATTAGCCAGGCGTGGTGGTGCACGCTTGTAGTCCCAGCTACTTGGGAGGCTGAGGCAGGAGAATCACTTCAAACCAGGAGGCAGAGGTTGCAGCAAGCCGAGATCATGCCACTGCACTCCAGCCTGGGTGACAAAATGAGACTCCATCTCAAAAAAATAAAATAATTATTATTTTTTTTCGAGACAAGATCTCACTCCCATTGCCCAGGCTGAAGTGTAGTGGTGCAATCTCAGCTCACTGCAGCCTGGACTTCTTGGGCTCAAGCGATCCTCCCATGTCAGCCTTCAGAGTAGCTGGGACTGCAGGCTCGCACCACCATGTCCAGCTAATTTTGTTGTTGTTGTTGTTGTTGTTTTTGTGCCAGAGTCTCGCTCTGTCGCCCAGGCTGGAGTGCAGTGGCGCGATCTCGGCTCACTGCAGGCTCTGCCCCCCGGGGTTTACGCCATTCTCCTGCCTCAGCCTCCCGAGTAGCTGGGACTACAGGCGTCTGCCACCTCGCCCGGCTAATTTTTTGTATTTTTAGTAGAGACGGGGTTTCACTGTGTTAGCCAGGATGGTCTTGATCTCCTGACCTCGTGATCCACCCGCCTGGGCCTCCCAAAGTGCTGGGATTACAGGCGTGAGCCACCGCGCCCGGCTGTTGTTGTTGTTGAGATGGAGTTTTGCTCTTATTGCCCAGGCTGGAGTGCAATAGCGCAACCTCAGCTCACTGCAACCTCAGCCTCCCAGGTACAAGTGATTCAATCTCCCAAGTAGCTCAGATTACAGGCATGAGCCACCACACCTGGCTAATTTTTTTGTATTTAGTAAAGACGGGGTTTCACCATGTTGGTCAGGCTGGTCTTGAACTCCTGACCTCAGGTAATCCACCTGGCTCAGCCTCCCAAAGTGCTGGGATTACAGGTGTGTGCCACTGCGTCTGGCCTAATTTTTTATATTTTTAGTAGAGACGGGGTTTTGCCATATTGCCCAGGCTCGTCTCAAACTGCTGGGCTCAAGTAATCCTCCCTCCTTGGCCTCCCAAAGTGCTGGGATTACAGGGGAGCCACTGTGCCTTGCCCCCATTTCTTATTCTCTCCTTTTTAAGTGATGATGGAACGAAGGCCAGGAAATGGTAAAAAATCTTTTTGAGGTAACACAGCACCTTGGACATAGGAGGTGCTTGATAATTTTTTTTTTTTTTTTTTTAGACGGAGTTTCACTCGTTGCCCAGGCTGGAGTGCAATGGTGTGATCTCGGCTCACTGCAACCTCTGACTCCCAGGTTCAAGAGATTTTCCTGCCTCAGCCTCCCTAGTAGCTGGGATTACAGGCACATGCCACCACGCCCGGCTAATTTTGTGTTTTTAATAGAGACGGGGTTTCTCCATGTTGGTCAGGCTGGTCTTGAACTCCCGACCTGAGGTGATCCACCCCAGTCTCCCAAAATGCTGGGATTACAGGCATGAGCCACCGCGCCCGGCCGATAAATATTAATTATGGTTTACGAGGGGTTTTAAACTTGTCATAGCATTTATTATTACAGTATTACCATTTTTACAAACGGGGTAACTGAAACTCAGAGAAGTTAAATTGCCCAAGGTCACAGAGAAATAGAAATTCTACCTCAGGCCTGTCTGCCTCCACCATCAACTGACATCCTAGAGAAATTCAAATCTCTGCAATCTGGCCTGAAGAGAACAGAGGACACGAGGAGTACTACTTATTTCCAAAAGTGTTCTAGGTCCAGATAGGAGTTATTACCTGCAGCCTGCTTTCATTCAGCTTCAGTACCCCAGTGTGGTGCCTTGGCTGAGCCTCTGACCATGCAAGGTCATCTGGGTCAGGTGATGTTTAATGAGTCGGGTTACCTCACTGAGCCTCAGACTGCAAGATAGGCAAGAACCTCTTAGTTTGCTTATTGCTATCTCAGCTGGTGCAGCTTACAAAAATGCATCTAGAACATCAGTCCAATTCTAAGCAAATGTAAGACAAACCAACGAGACAGACCTTTGAGAAATATATTCTATCGATACTTTTTTTTTTTTTTTTGAGATGGAATTTCGCTCTGTCACCCAGGTTGGAGTGCAGTTGCACGATGTTGACTCACTGCAACCTCCTCCTCCTGGGTTCAAGAGATTCTCCTGCCTCAGCGTCCCGAGTAGCTGGAATTACAGGCGTCCACCACCACACCCAGCTAATTTTTTGTATTGTCAGTACAGACAGGGTTTCACCACATTGGCCAGGCTGGTGTCAAACTCCTGACCTCAGGTGATCCACCTGCCTCAGCCCCCCAGAGTGCTGGGATTACAGGCATGAGCCACTGCGCCCAGCCCATACATACTCTTTAAAAAGTGTCAAGGCTGGCCGGACACGGTGACTCATGCCTGTAATCCCAACACTTTGGGAGGCCGAGGCAGGTGGATTAATTGAGCCCAGGAGTTCAAGACCACATTGAGCAACATGGCAAAACCCTTCTCTACTGAAAATACAAAAATTAGCTGGGTGTGGTGGCACACGCCTGTAGTCCCAGCTACAAGGGAGGGCTGAGGCACAAGAATCCTTGAATCCAGGGAGGTGGAGCTGGCAGTGAGTAGCTGAGACTACATCCATGCACCGCCATGCCCAGCTAATTTATATTTTTAGTAGAGATGAGGTTTTGTCACATTGGCCAGGCTCTTCATCAACTCCTGAGTTCAGGCAATCCACCCACCTTGACCTCCCAAAGTGTTAAGAGTTACAGGCATGAGCCAGGCACCAGGCCTCAATGTTAATTTCTTGATTTTGATCATTGTATTACGATTAACTAAAATGTTAACATTAGAGGATGCTAAGTGAAGGATATAGAGAAACTCTACTATTTTTGCAGGTTTTAAGTCCAATATTAGGTCAAAATAAAAAGCTTATAAATTATACACATTAAAAAATACTTTGTTGGTGGGGCGCGGTAGCTCACGCCTGTAATCCCAGCACTTTGGGAGGCCGAAGCAGGCGGATCACTTGAGGTCAGGAGTTCGAGACTAGCCTGGTCAACATGGTGAAATCCTGTCTCTACTAAAAATACAAAAATTAGCCATGCGTGGTGGCAGGCACCTGTAATCCCAGCTACTCTGGAGGCTGAGACAGAATTGCTTGAACCTGGGAGGCGGAGGTTGCAGTGAGCCGAGATCGCGCCACTGCACTCCAGCCTGGGTGACAGACCAAGACTCCATCTCAAAAAACAAATTTGTTATGTAAGGTCTTGTCCCAAGAAGAATAAACAATAACAAAACCTTAAATAAGAGATCTATAACTGTGTAAAAAGAAATACAGCTAGTGCAACAATTAAATAGTAAGTGGGTAGGGAAAAATTCACTGTAAAGTAAGCAAGAGCAGCAAGAATAAAATAAAGCCAAAAATAAGGCAAGGTCAAGTACAATTGCCAGAGGCAGACATACAATTTGGCTCTGAGCTTCTTACCAGCAGGAAGGAAACTTGATTACTTGAGTTACAATGTGTGTAAGAGAAAAAAACTTAAAATTTACATCCATACATAAAGTCCTGTACATTTCTTAGAAAATTATATTATAAAATATTTAGTGACGGGTGAGGATATTAATGAATGAAAAATTAACAAATGGCCAGGCGTGGTGGCTCACGCCTGTAATCCCAGCACTTTGGGAGGCCGAGGTGGGTGAATCACAAGGTCCTGAGTTCAAGACCAACCAGGCCAAGATGGTGAAACCCCGTCTCTACTAAAACACAAAAATTAGCCGGGCGTGGTGGCGGGCACCTATAATCTCAGCTACTCGGGAGGCTGAGGCAGAGAACTGCTTGAACCCAGGAGGAGGAGGTTGCAGTGAGCCAAGATTGCGCCACTGCACTCCAGCCCAGCTAAGACTCCGTCTCAAAAAAAATAAAATTAACAAATCATAAAACAATAAGTAGTATGCGATAGCAGTGGGTCAGTGGATTATGCGAGTTAAATTTTTTTTTTTTTTTTGAGACGGAATCTCGCTCTGTCATCCAGGCTGGGGTGCAGTGGCGCGATCTCAGCTCACTGCAACTTCTGCTTCCTGGGTTCAAGCGATTCTCCTGCCTCAGCCACCCCAGTAGCTGGGACTATAAGCACGCACCACTGCGCTCAGCTAACTTTTGTATTTTTTTAAGACACAGGTTCTCACCATGTTGGTCAGGCTGCTCTCAAACTCCCGATCTGGTGATCCACCCGCCTCCGCCTCTCAAAATACTGGGATTACAGGAGTGAGCCACTGCGCTCAGCCCCAACAGTTGTTTTTCTTGGTCGGGCGAGGTGAGCTGGGTGACTCATACCTGTAACCCCAGCACTTTCGAATGCCAAGCTGGGAGGATCGCTTGAGGCCAGGAGTTTGAGACCAGCCTGGGCAACATAGCAAGATCCTTGTCTCTACAAAAAATTTTTTAAAAATTAGCATGGCATGGTGGTGCCTTTAGCCCCCGCTAATTGGGAGGCTGAGGTGCAAGGATCTCTTGACCCTAGGAACTCAGAGCCACAATTAGCTATGATCGTGTCACAGCAGCACTCCAGCTTGGGTGAGAGTGAGTTCCCATTTCTTTACCAAAAAATGTTTTTCTTTCTGGCTGCTTTCTATTGCTGTGCAATAAATTGCTATACATTTAGTGGCTTAAAGTAACATACAGGCCAAGCACAGTGGCTCGCATCTGTAATTCCAGCACTTTGGGAGGCTGAGACAGAAAAATGGCTTGAACCCCGGAGACCAGCCTGGGCAACATCACAAAACTGTCTCTACCAAAAAAAAAAAATTAACGTTGCGTGACGGTGCATGCCTGTAGTCCTGTGTCCGGGATTGGTGGGTTCTCAGTCTCACTGACTTCAAGAATGAAGCCGAGGACCCTCATGTTGAGTGTCACAGTTCTTAAAGGCGACGTGTCCAAAGTTTGTTCCTTCTAATGTTCTGATGTGTTCCGCGTTTCTTCCTTCTGGTGGGTTCATGGTCACCGGCTCAGAAGTGAAACTCCACACTTCCGCAGTGACTGTTACAGCTCTTAAGGCGGCGCTTCTGGAGTTGTTCCTTTCTCCCGGTGGGTTCGTAGTCTCGCTGGCTTCAGGACTTAAGCTGCAGACCTTTGCAGGTAATATTACAGCTCATAAAAGCACTGTGGACCCAAACAAGGAGCAAACAAACAAAGCTCCCACAATATATGAAACAAGCTGCACAGGTTATCACTGCTAGCACCGGCAGCCTGCTTTTATTTTCTTATCTGGCCCCACCCACATCCTGCTGATTGGTCCATTTTACAGACAGCCGATTGGTCTGTTTTACAGAGAGCTGATTGGTCCATTTTGACAGGGTGCTGATTGGTGCGTTTACAATCCCTGAGCTAGACACGAAAGTTCTCCACCTCCCCACTAGATTAGCTAGATACAGAGTGTCTATTGGTGTATTTACAAACCCTGAGCTAGACATAGAGGGATGATTGGTGCATTTACAAACCTTGAGCTAGATACAGAGTGCCGATTTGTGCATTCCCCTTAGCTAGACATAAAGATTCTCCAAGTCCCCACCAGACTAGCTAGATAACAGAGTATGGAGTGGTGCATTCACAAACCCTGAGCTGGACACAGAGTGCTGATTGGTGTGCTTACAAACCTTGAGCTAGATACAGAGTGCTGATTGGTGTATTTACAATCCCTTGGCTAGACATAAAGGTTCTCCAAGTCCCCACCAGACTCAGGAGCCCAGCTGGCTTCACCCAGTGGATTCTGCACCGTGGCCGCAGATGGGGCTGCCTGCCAGTCCCCCGCCATGCGCCTGCACTCCTCAGCCGTCGGACGGTCGATGGGACTGGGCGCCCTGGAGCAGGGAGCGGCGCTCGTCGGGGAGGCTCCGGCTGCGCAGGAGCCCACGGCGGTGGCAGAGAGGTTCAGGCATGGCGGGCTGCAGGTCCCAAGCCCTTCTCCGCGGAGGGGCAGCTAAGACCGGCGAGAAATCGAGCACAGCAGCTGGTGGCCCAGGTGCTAAGCCCCTCACTGCCCGGGGCTTGCCGGCGGGCCGGCCGCTCTAAGTGCGGGGCCCGCTGAGCCCACGCCCACCCGCAATTCGCGCTGGCCCGCAAGCGCCGCGCGCAGCCCCAGTTCTTGCCCGTGCCTCTGCCTCTACACCTCCCCGCAAGCTGAGGGAGCCGGTTCCGGCCGTGGCCAGCCCAGAAAGGGACTCCCACAGTGCAGCGGCGGGCTGAAGGGCTCCTCAAGCGCGGCCAGAGTGGGTGCCAAGGCCGAGGAGGCACCGAGAGCGAGCGAGGGCTGCGAGGGCTGCCAGCATGACCTCACCTCTCAGTCCCAGCTACGCGGGAGGCTGAGGCGGAGGGATCACTTGATCCAGTGAAGGTCTAGGCTGAGCCATGATCTTGCCACTGCACTGCAGCCTGGGCGACAGAGCGAGACCTTGTCTCAGAAACAAACAAAAATCTCTGCTCTAGAGCACAGTTTCTTTATCTTGGCACTATTGACACTTTGACCTGGATAATTCTTTATTGTGGGGAGTTGTCCTGCGCATTGTGGAATGTTGAACGCCATCATTGGCTTTTACCCTTAGAGGCCAGGAACATCCCCCAGTTGTGACAACCAAAAAAGTCTCCAGACATTGCCAAATGTCCCCTGTAGGGCAGGGACCACTATCTGAGAAACACTGATCTGGAAGAGCAAAGTGTAAATCAGGAGAGATATGGATGAAACCACTCCTAGATGCAAATTGCAGCTCTACCAATCATGGCTGTGGGTAAATTACCTCTTTTCAGCCTTATTCAGTTTCCTCAGATATAAACTGAGGATATTACACCTACCAAATGTGGTTTTGAAAAAGGTCAAAATAGTCTGGGCGCGGTGGCTCATGTCTGTAATCCCAGCACTTTGGGAAGCTGAGGCGGGTGGATCACCTGAGGTCAGGAGTTCCAGACCAGCCTGGGCAACATGGTGAAACCCCGTCTCTACTAAAATACAAAAAATTATCTGGGCGTGGTGGCGCACCTGTAGTCCCACCTACTCTGGAGGCTGAGGCAGGAGAATTGCTTGGGCCCCAGAGGCAGAGGTTGCAGTGAGCCGAGATCGTGCCACTGCACCATAGCTTGGGCTACAGTGCAAGACTCCATGTCAAAAAAAAAAAAAAGAAGATCAAGATAAACAAAGCATGCAAAGCACTTTGCAGAGTGCTGTATATGGTAAGCATTTAAAATATGGTAGCTACTAATATTGTCCAGACCATAGTTGACACCGTAAGTATTTCTTTATGACCGTCACTCATTCATTCAACAGATATTTATTAACTGGGGTCTGTGTGCCAGATCATAATAAGCTCTATCTGAATTCCCCCTCAGACCCTTATCTGGTGCATATAATTATCATCTGTGTTTATTTATTTATTATTATTTTTTGTTTTGAGATGGATTTTCACTCTTGTTGCCCAGGCTAGAGTGCAATGACGCGATCTCGGCTCACTGCAACCTCTGCTTCCTGGGTTTAAGAGATTCTCCTGCCTCAGCCTCCCGACTAGCTGGGATTACAGGCACCCAGCACCAAGCCAGGCTAAGTTTTTGTATTTTTAGTAGAGACGGGAGTTTCACCATGTTGTCCAGGCTGGTCTTGAACTCCTGACCTCAGGTGATCCACCCACCTCGGCCTCCCAAATTGCTGGGATTAGAAGTGTGAGCCACTGTGCCTGGCCGTATTTATTCTTTTTTTTTTTTTTTTTTTTTTGAGACGGAGTCTCGCTCTGTTGCCCAGGCTGGAGTGCAGTGGCGCGATCTCGGCTCACTGCAAGCTCCACCTCCCGGGTTCACGCCATTCTCCTGCCTCAGCCTCCCGAGTAGCTGGGACTACAGGCGCCCGCCACCACGCCCGGCTAATTTTTTGTATTTTTAGTAGAGGCGGGGTTTCACTGTGTTAGCCAGGATGGTCTCGATCTCCTGACCTCATGATCCGCCCGCCTCTGCCTCCCAAAGTGCTGGGATTACAGGCGTGAGCCACCGCGCCCGGCCCGTATTTATTCTTTATGAATGGCATTTTTTGGGGAGCTGGGGGTCTCACTCTGTCACCCAGGCTGGTATGCAATAACACCATCATGGCTCATGTGGACTCCAACTCCTGGTCTGGTGTGACCATCCCGCCTCAGCCCCACTGAGTAGCTGAGACTGCAGGCACACTCCACCACACAGGCTAATTTTTTTTTCTTTTTTTTTGAGATGAAGTCTTGTTCTGTCACCTAGGCTGGAGTGCAATGGCATGGTCTCAGCTCACTGCAACCTCTGCCTCCTGGGTTCAAGCGATTTTCCTCTCTCAGCCTCTGGAGTAGCTGGGATTACAGGCGTGCGCCACCACGCCCGGCTAATTTTTTTTGTATTTTTGTAGAGACGGGGTTTCACCATGTTGGCCAGGCTAGCCTTGAACTCCTGATCTCAAGTGATCCACCTGCCTCCGCCTCCCAAAGTGCTGGGATTACAGGTGTGAGCCACCACACCTGGCACACACTGGCTAAATTTTTACTTTTTTTTGTAGAGATGGGGTCTTACTATGCTGCCCAGGATGGTCTCGAACTCCTGGCCTCATGTGATCCTCCAACCTTGGTCTTCCAAAGTGCTGTGATTACAGGTGTAAGCCACTGTGTCCAACCTGTGAATGGCACTTTTAATACCAGCAAAAGATTCTATCACATCGATTTTTATTCCTGGCCCTGACCTCCCTTCTGGGATTCAAACCCATATGTCCAGCTGGATGTCCTCCCAGGAACATTAAATTTGGCATTTGGGGCCAATTAGCCCAGTGCCTAGCACCTGGCAAGTCTTTTCATAAAAATGAGCTATTACCAATCATCAGTGTCGCTTTTTAGTCCCTGCTAGCTGATCCACCTCCTTTTGCTACTCCTCACTGGGTTCCCAGTGTCACGCATTTTCTTTTTCCTTTTTTTTTGAGACGGAGTCTCGCACTCTCGCCCAGGCTGGAGTGCAGTGGCGCCATCTCGGCTCACTGCAAGCTCCGCCTCCCGGGTTCACGTCATTCTCCTGCCTCCGCCTCCCGAGTAGCTGGGACTACAGGCGCCCGCCACCACGCCCGGCTAATTTTTTGTATTTTTAGTAGAGACAGGGTTTCACCGTGTTAGCCAGGATGGTCTCGATCTCCTGACCTTGTGATCTGCCTGCCTCCCAAAGTGCTGGGATTACAGGCGTGAGCCACTGGGCCCGGCCCGGTGTCACGTATTTTTATCAGCAGCCATTTGTTGTCCCTGTGGGGAGCCCAGAAAACCCAGCCCGGTTCTCCCACCTGCGGGGAAGAAATGAAGCAATGATAATGAAGACACTCCCATGCCAAGCCCATACTGCCCTGAGCAATCAGTTTTGGTGGGGAGAATTTGCTAGCAGAAGGCAGGACATAAAGTCCCCACAGCAGCCTCACTGGGTGTGGCAGCAAATCATTCCTGAGGCCTGGCCGGTGCTACCAGGCACAGCAGGGGTCCGTGCAGAAGAACTAGATTTATTCCATTAATATACCGTTACAGCAACAATGTCTGCTGAGTACTCCGGAACTGTAATTCACATTTCCTGAGGCTGTAGTAGGGAGAATTTGGAAGCAGGGCAGCACAGTGCTAACCAGCAGGCTCTGGGTGGGACAGACCTGGGTTTGAGTCCTAGCTTTGCCTTTCACTATCTGCATTATAGTCAGCGAGTGGCTCTATCATATCTCTCAGTATCTTCACCTGTGGAGTTGGGGGGGTGATGCTAATGTTAGCTAACATTTATGGGGTGATTATTGTTGTTAAAACTCAGTACACCGGGCGCGGTGGCTCACGCCTGTAATCCCAGCACTTTGGGAGGCCAAGGTGGGCAGATCACCTGAGGTCAGAAGTTTGAGACCAGCCTGGCTAACATGGTGAAACCCCGTCCCTACTAAAAATACAAAAATTAGCCGGGCGTGGTGGCGGGTGCCTGTAATCCCAACTACTGGGGAGGCTGAGGCAGGAGAATTGCTTGAACCCGGGAGGCGGAGGTTGCAGAGAGCCGAGACCGCCCCATTGTACTCCAGCCTGGGCAACAAGAGCGAAACTCTGTCTCAAAACAAAAAACAAACGAAAAAACACAGTAAATTGTCCCTATTTGACTACTAAGAGCTATTTTAAAATAGAATTTATTATCTAAGTACAGAAAGGTGTAATTATCCCCCCTACACCCGTTAGAACCCTTGATGACACTAAATAAATAATACATGAATACGGTTCAAAAATGGGCATCATAGAGTATAAAATAAAGAATGCTTTCATTTTCAACCCAAATTCAGCAATTTCATAGGATGCCAGGCTCAGCTCTAAAGCCTTATATGTATTCAGTGCGCTGAAATTCAACAACCTCACGAGGTAGGTATAACCAATAATAATTCTAGGCGGGGCGTGGTGGCTCACGCCTGTAATCCTAGCACTTCGGGAGGCCGAGGCGGGCGGATCACCTGAGGTTCGAGACCAGCCTGACGAACATGGAGAAACCCCGTCTCTAATAAAAATACAAAATTAGCCGGGCGTGGTGACGCATACCTGTAATCCCAGCTACTCGGGAGGCTGACGCCGGAAAATCGCTTGAACCCGGGAGGCGGAGGTTGCAGTGAGCCGAGATCGCGCCACTGCACTCCAGCCTGGGCAACAAGAGCGAAACTCCGTCCCAATAATAATAATAATTAATAATAATAATAATAACAATAATAATAATAATTCTAAAGGGAAGCAGAGGGATCTGGCGGGAAAGTGCCAGCAAACCTAACAGGCCTCCACAAGTGTCTTTAAAGTTTCATAGGGGTCGGTATATGTGATTAACTGCCAAAGAAGAATATTCGCCGTGTGTCCGAAACGCAGTCCCCTGGGGCGCCACACTCGGAGCCTACTTGAACCGAAGAGTCCCTCCCTGGGCCAACGAAGGACCCAATTCCCCTCGCCCCGGATCCAGCCTCTAAGTGGTTTCCCGGGTAAGGTCAGCAGAGGTCCGCCGCCTCAACCAGTCTTGTTAGAGTAGGCACAAAAGCATTCAGAGTGACTGCCACTGTAGCCACTCAACGCCGAGCCTAGGCCTGCTTTTTTTGCAGTTAGAGTGAAACTTTCCATTGGTGGAGTCACCCCAAAGGAGGCGGGACGGAGCGGGAAAGTCCTGCCTACCTTGGCCTTCCCAGCCAATCGCAGCATCTATGCGTCAGCCTCCGGTTCGGTTGCGCTGCGCGTAGTGGTCTGGGCGACCTGAGGGCGGGGCCGGGAGCAGGCCCCGGGCTGTGGGGAGGGTGCGCTTCCCGCGGGCGCGCGGAGTGAGGACGGTGACAGCCACGCGCGCGCGTACGCGCCCGATGCAGCGCGGCCCCGTGACCCTAGTCGGCCGCTGAGAGGCGCGCGGAGTCTGGGCCGCTGCCGTCTAGGGGTCCCGTCCCGAGGCGTCCCCGGCATCTCCGGCCCGAATCCCGGAGTGCCGGGTCGCGCCTGCACCGAAGGTCCCGGCTCCTGTGCCCTCCCTGCAGCCGTCAGGGCCCGTCCCCCAACTCCCCTTTCCGCTCAGGCAGGGTCCTCGCGGCCCATGCTGGCCGCTGGGGACCCGCGCAGCCCAGACCGTTCCCGGGCCGGGCAGCCGGCCACCATGGTGGCCCTGAGGCCTGTGCAGCAACTCCAGGGGGGCTAAAGGGCTCAGAGTGCAGGCCGTGGGGCGCGAGGGTCCCGGGCCTGAGCCCCGCGCCATGGCCGGGGCCATCGCTTCCCGCATGAGCTTCAGCTCTCTCAAGAGGAAGCAACCCAAGACGTTCACCGTGAGGATCGTCACCATGGACGCCGAGATGGAGTTCAATTGCGAGGTAACCGGCCGGCAGCCCCGACTGCTGCGGTGACAGTCGAGGTGGAAGCTCGAGAGGTTCTCTTTATATCATCTTATGGGTGTAGCTAGAGACGGGCAGAACCGGAAGGGCCAACTAGGCCCAAAACCTCATGTTAAAGATGATTGCTGCTTTTTTTCATAGGACTTTTGGGTTTTGGCATTTCCTGAAGGTTATTTTCATTCATTGTTATTGGAAGAAGCTGGATGCTCCTGTGATAGAAAATTCAGGATTTCAGTGTCAGGCTTAAGTTAGGCTTACGCTTAAAAGCTTGAAAGTTTATTCTTTCATTAGGTAATATTGTTATGTACCCAGGTATTAGAAGTTGCGTCTTGTTTATTGGAAAGCCAATACTTGTTTCCCTTTTCTAAAGCTTGCATATTCTGGGAAAAAAAACCCTTTGAAGAACGATATAACATCTCATACTTACTTTCCACATAGTTTCCAACATGATGATAACAGCTATCAATTGTTCAGTATTTTCAAAGTGCTAGACATTTGCACATTTAATCCTCAGAACAAACCCATTTATCTAGTAAATGGCAAGGTGGGGTTTTGAACCAAGCTCACAGCCCGTACAGTACTGCTTCTCAAGTAATTTAAGTTCTTGCTGCTAAAAGTGTGGTTTGTGGACCAGCAGCATTGGCAGCAGTAAGCAAGGGTTGGCATGCTTTTTCTGTACAGGACCACATAGTAAATATTTTCAACTTTGTAGACTAGAGAATCTCTGTTGGAGTTATTCAACTCTTCAACTCTACCATTGTAACACAAAAGCAGCCTTAGATAAGATCAGCTTCCAGCATGACAGCTTAAGGAACCCATTCCTCTGTAAAACTGGTGAAAATTCTTTTTTGTTTTGTTTCGTTTTGAGACAGAATCTCACTCTGTCACCGAGGCTGGCATGCAGTAGTGTGATCATGGCTTACTGCAACCCTGACCAACCTCCCTGGCTCAATCAGTCCTCCTGCCTCAGCCTCTCGAGTAGCTGGGACCACAGGCGTGTGCCACCACACCTGGCTAATTTTTTTTTTTTTTTTTTTTTTGAGACGGAGTCTCGCTCTGTCACCCAGAGTGCACCGGGCTAGAGTGCAATGGCGCGATCTTGTCTCACTGCCACCTCCACTTCCAGGTTCAAGTGATTCTCCTGCTTCAGCCTTCCAGGTAGCTGGGATTACAGGCGTGCGCCACCTCGTCTGGCTAATTTTTCTATTTTTAGTAGAGACAGGGTTTCACCATATTGGGCAGGCTGATCTCGAACTCCTGACCTCGTGACCAGCCGACCTGGGCCTCCCAAAGTGGTGGGAAAGTGGTGCGATTACAGATGTGAGCCACCCCGCCCAGCCTCACCTAGCTAATTTTTGTAAAGACAGGGTTTTGCCATGTTGCCCAGGCTGATCTTGAACTCCTGAGCTCAAGCAATCCACTCGCCTTGGCCTCCCAAAGTGATGGGATTACAGATGCAGCCACCACGCCTGGCCCAAAAATTCTTTTTTTAAAATCAACTATTTAAACCCTCCGGCAATGGTCCTGAGGGCAAACAACAAATGAAAAAACACCTATTCAAGAAAATCTACAAATTCGGTAAGAAAGATGAGAGGGTATGGTATTTGAACCAAGATCATTCCCTCCTTACTCACTCCTAGCTTAGTGAGGTGGAGCTTCTACTCCAGACTATTGCAAACTGTAATACCGGGCACTGCTCCCCCAGCTCCCAATCAAATGCTTTCTTCCCAGGAAAAGCAGGACATCAGCATTTCTCATCCTACCTAGAGCTACTTGTTGCTGAGGTTAAAACCTGTGTGAGTGCAATTGAAAGTTGGAGCTCTCTTTTTTTTTCTTTTGAGACGGAGTTTTGCTCTTGTTGCTCAAACTGGAGTGCAATGGTGTGATCTCGCCTCACCGCAGCCTCTGCTTCCCGGGTTCAAGCGATTCTCCCACATCAGCCTCCCAAGTAGCTGGGATTGCAGGCTTGCGCCACCATGTCTGGCTAATTTTGTATTTTTAGTAGAGGCAGGGTTTCTCCATGTTGGTCAGGCTGGTCTTGAACTCCCTACCTCAGGTGATCCACCTGCCTCGGCCTCCCAAAGTGTTGGGATTATAGGCGTGAGCCACTGTGCCCTGCGAAAAGTTGGAGCTCCCTTCTTCCACCTAGTCCCTACTTGTGGAACAGGACTGTACCTTGGACATGACATACTGAAATTACTGGTGCCCCAATTGCTCATCCCCCAGTTCTTGCAGGCTGAGCCTCAGGTTATTGCGGTCCCCTGCCTCCTTCCACCAAGTGCTCAGTTCCTAGAGTGAGGGTATTTCTCAGAGAGAATCTTTCCAGGGTCCTTCCCCACAGCTCCAGAGCCTTGGCTCCGGGATTTTGCCTCAGGAGAGAAGCAGGCCCTAAAACAGATAGCTCCTAATCTCTTTCCAATGGCAGTGACTTCATTTGCAACACAGTGTGGAGAAATTCATGCCTAAGGGCAATCTGGAGATGTGAAGGTTTTGGTAAGAGGCAACTGGGAGATCTGCGGATTTAATGGAGATGCAGCCTAGACTGTAGGCCTCCTGGTTTGCTGGAAAGAATTGGGGAATAAGACAGCTGGAAGAAGCCATTCTAGGATCAGAAGAAGGATCAAACATTGACCGCAGCATGGTGGCTCACGCCTGTAATCCCAGCACTTTGGGAGGCTGAGGCAGGCAGATCATCTGAGGTCGGGAGTTTGAGACCAGCTTGACCAATATGGTGAACCCCATCTCTACTAAAAATACAAAAATTAGCTGGGCATGGGGGCATACACTTGTAATCCCAGCTACTTGGGAGGCTGAAGCAGGAAAATCACGTGAACTGGGAGGTGGAAGTTGCAGTGAGCCAAGATCACGCCACTGCACTCCAGCCTGGGTGACAGTGAAGCTCTGTCCTGTCACAAAACAAAACATTGACCACAGACCTCTGAGGTGGTGGATGTCCCTCCTGTCCTGGTTGTATCATTATACATTGTATATTAATGTATCGAAATACTACAGGTACCCCCAACATGTGTACAACTATTATGAATCAATAAAAAACAATTTGAAAAGTAAGGTATGTGGCAGAGGTGGAAAAAAATGCTTTCCTCCAAACAGCCACAATTTGATTGTATCAGTTTGTAGAGTAAGAGCAAGTTATGCCTCAGTGTGTTGTTGAAAATAATAGAACAATATGCCACAATTAGTGGAGCTTCATAGCTGGGTGTGGTCAAGGAGAGAATAGAAGAGAACCCTACCAAAACCACTGTCATCCCAGGGTGACTGTGAGCATACCCAAAGCTGCACCTCCCTGAAGAGCAATATCATAGGCCTTAACACTTTTCAGGGGAAATGGATTTCACTCAAATAATCCAGCCAGTCGCTAAACAAATAAATAACAATTGGCCCTGGAGAGGGGGTACCAATCCCCAGAGTTGCTACAGTATATTATCTAAAATGTCCAGTTTCCAACAAGAAATTGTGAGACGTACAAAGAAACAGGAAAATATGACACATACACTGGAAAAAAGCTGGCAGCAGCAACTGCCTGTGAGACAAGGGGCCAAATTAATGAAAAAGGCTTCAAACTGGCCTATATATATATTCACAGTACTATATATATTCACAATACTAAAGGAAAATATGATGACAAAGAAGTAAAGGATGGTATGACACTGTTGCATCAATTAAAGAATATCCATAAAGATATAGAAATTATAAAAAAAGAATCAAATGAAAATTCTGGAGTTGAAAGTACAATAACAGCTGGGCGCGGTGGCTCACACCTGTAATCCCAGCACTTTGGGAGGCTGAGGCGGGCGGATCACCTGAGGTCGGGAGTTCGAGACCAGCCTGACCAACATGGTAAAACCCCGTCTCTGCTAAAAATACAAAAATTAGCCAGGCGTGGTGGCCGGCACCTGTAGTCCCAGCTACGCGGGAGGCTGAGGCAGGAGAATTCCTTGAACCTGGGAGGCGGAGGTTGCAGTGAGCCAAGATCGAGCCACTGCACACCAGCCTGGGCAACAGAGCAAGACTCTGTCTCAAAAAAAAAAAAAAAAAAAAAAAAAGTACAATAACAAATTTAAAAATTAACTAGAGGGACTCAGGACTCAATAACAGATTTGAACTGGGTGAAGAAAGAATTCGTTAATTTTTTTTTTCTTTTTGAGACAGAGTCTCGCTCTGTTGCCTAGGCTGGAGTGCAGTGGGGCAATCTCGGCTCACTGCAACCTCTGCCTCCCTGGTTCAAGCGATTCTCCTGCCTCAGCCACCGCACAGTGGCTTTGGGAGTACTCTGGGAGGCTGAGGTGGGTGGATCACCTGAGGTCAGGAGTTCAAGACCAGCCTGGCCAACATGGTGAAACCCCATCTCTACAAAAATACAAAAATTTAGTTGGGCATGATGGCGGGTGCCTGTAACCCCAGCTACTTGGGAGGTTGAGGCGGGAGAATTGCTTGAACCCGGGAGGCGGAGGTTGTAGTGAGCAGAGATCGTGCCACTGCCCTCCAACCTGGGTGACAGAGCGAGACTCCATCCCTGCCCTGAAAAAAAAAAAAAAGATGTGAAACACATACAAAAAAAAGTAAAATGGCAGTTGAATGCCAAGTAATTAGATAACTTCAATAAAATGGACAAACTCCTAGAAAGATATAAACCACCAAAATTGACCCAAGAAGAGACACTATCTGAATAGACCTATAACAAGTAAAGATATTAAATTAGTAATTGAGGGGACTCGTGGGGTAACTTGCCCTTGGGAACCAGTAGTATGGCATCGGGCTGCAAGATTGGCCTGTCCATCCTCAATGCTACCTGGCCAATTTAGGGGCCCAGTGCCTCTGGATGCTAGACTCTGGGGTCGATTATCTCCACCGGAATGTAATGGATGAACATGCATGTGATGGTGTCCAAGCCAGAACAGTGGGTAAAGCCAATGGCTATAAGAGGAGCCAATCAGTACATCTTTCATCTCGAGGAAACTGAGAACCCAGGGGCTTTGATTAAAGACATTCAGGAGAATGGGATGAAGGTTGGCCTTGCCATAAAACCAGGAACCTCAGTTCAGTATTTGGCACCATGGGCTAATCAACTAGGTATGACCTTGGTTATGACAGTGGAACCAGGGTTTGGAGGGCATAAATTCATGGAAGATATGATGTTAAAGGTTCACTGGTTGAGGATCCAGTTCCCATCTTTGGCTATAGAGGTCGCTGGTGGAATAGATCCTGACACTGTCCATAGGTGTGCAGAGGCGAAGCTAACATGATTGTGTCTGGCAGTGCTATGGTGAGGAGTGAAGACCCTAGATCTGTGATCAGCCTGTTAAGAAACATTTGCTCAGAAGCTGCTCAGAAAGATTCTCTTGATTGATGAAACCTTAAGGAGCCCAATGTTTGTTTATGAAATCTCCTTTTTACTGGAAAACAGGAATATTGACTACCAAATCATAGTGTAGTTGAAGCCATTCTGCGTTTTTGAGCAGTTATTCGTTTCAGTGATTATAATTGATTGTGCAGAGTATTCTAAGAAGTTAGAAATTGGTGTGTATAACTACATTTTCAGTGATGCAATTTAATGATTAGTGAGTGAGATACTGTTTTTATTGAGAGCCTTGATTTTTATAAAGAGTAAAAATATGGCTGCATTAAGGGTACAAACAGAAAAGTGTCTTAATGTCTAAGGAGGGCATATTAGCTACACTATAAAAACAATTTTTTTCTGTATTTCTGAAAAGAATTTTGTTGTTTCTCAGTTGTTTTCCAAAAGCAAAGGAAGTCTTAATGTTTTTTTCTATTTCGTGTTATGTGTGATTTGTTTATATGCTTGGTAATATGAGTCTAATGGAATTTAAAAATATAAGTTTGGGTAGGATAGTATACCCTTAAAAAATAAATAAATAATTAGAGAGAGAGAGAGAGAGAGAGACCTGGGCACAGTGGCTGTTGCCTGTAATCTCAGCACTTTGGGAGGTCAAGGCAGGAGGATCCTTTGAGGCCAGGAGCTTGAGACCAACCTGGGCAACATAGAGAGACCCCAACTCTAAAATATACATACTATATCTAAACTCAGCTAGGCGTGGTGGTGTGAGCCTGGAGTCCCAGCTACTCAGGAGGTTAAGGTGTGAGGATCACTTGATCCCAGGAGGTTGAGGAGGCAGTGAGCTATGATTGTGCCACAGTGCTTCAGCCAGGGTGACAGAGTGAGACCCTGTCTCTTAAAAAAAAGAAAAGAGGCTGGGTGCAGTGGCTCATGCCTGTAATCCCAGCACTTTGGGAAGCCAAGGTGGGCAGATCACGAGGTCAGGAGTTCAAGACCAGCCTGTCTAATATGGTGAAACCCCATCTCTACTAAAAATACAAAAATTAGCCGAGCATGGTGGAGTGCGCCTGTAGTCCCAGCTACTCGAGAGGCTGAGGCAGGAGAATCGCTTGAACCCGGGAAGTTGGAGGTTGCAGTGAGCTGAGATTGCGCCACTGCACTCCAGCCTGGGTGACAAAGTGAGACTCCATCTCAAAAAAAAAAAAAAAGAAGAAAGAAAAGCAAAGCAAAGCCCAGGCCTGTACCTACTAGAGGTCCTGATAACTTCACCACTGAATTCTATCAAACATTTCAAGAAAAATTAATACAGTTCTTCACAAAGTCTTCAAAAATGAAAAAGAGGAGAAAATACTTACAAACGAATTTTATGAGACTGGTATTACCCTGTTGCCAAAAACCAGGAAAAGACATTACAAGAAAAGAAAACCATAGACAAATATATCTTACAAATGTGGAAGCAAAAATCCTCAACAAAAATACTAGCAAACTGAATCCAGTAACATATAAAAATAATTATATACCATAAACAAGCAGGATTTATTCCAGGAGTGCAAGGTTGGTTTAACATCCAAAAATGAATTAGTGTAAATAATGTAATGCATTATATCAATAGAATAAAAAACAAAAATCACCTTGTCATCTCAGTAGACACAGAAAAAGCATTTGACAAAATTCAGCATGTTTTTCATGATAAAAACACTAAATAAACTAAGAAGAGAAGAGCAGTTCCTCAACCTGATACACAGCAGTTATGAAAAACCCACAGCTAACTTCATAATAGTGAGACTGAGGCCAGGCACAGTGGCTCACGCCTGTAATCCTAACACTTTAGGAGGCCAAGGTTGGAGGGATCACTTGAGGTCAGGAGTTCAAGAACAGCCTGGCCAACATGGTGAAACCCTGTCTCTACTACAAATACAAAAAAAAATTAGCCAGGTGTGGTGGTGCATACCTATAATTGTAGCTACTTGGGAGGCTGAGGTGGGAGGATTGCTTGAACCTGGGAGGCAGAGGTTGCAGTGAGCTGAGATAGCACTACTGCACACAATAGGCTGGGCGACAGAGCTCAAAACAAACAAACAAACAAACAAAATAGTGAAAGACTGTATGCTTATCCTTAAGATTAGGAAAAAGAGAGATAAGTCTACTTTCACTACTGCTATTCAGCATTGTACTGGAGGTTCTAGCCAGGGCAATTAGGCAAGAAAATGCAATAAAATACATCTATGTTGGAAGGGAACAAGTAAGATCATCTCTGCAGATGACATGATCTTGCATATAGACCCTGAGGAATCCACTACCAAAGTATTGGAACTAATAAATTATTAGTTTAGTAAGGTTATAGGATACAAGATCATTACACAAAACTTAGTTGTAAATGTATCCACTTGGAATGAACAATCTGAAAAGGAAATTAAGAAAATTCCATTTACAATAACCTAAAAAATAAAAATACTTATAACAAAAGAGGTATCTTTTTTTCCATCCTCTGACAGTTTAGTAAAAGAAAGTATAAAACTTATACTCTAAAAGCTGTAAAACATTTTTGGTTTTGTTTTTTAAATTAATTTTTTTTGAAACGGAGTCTCACTCTGTCGTCCAGGCTGGAATGCGGTGGCGCGATCTCGGCTCACTGCAACCTCTGCCTCCCAGGTTAAAGCGATTCTCCTGCCTCAGCCTCCGGAGTAGCTGGAGCTACAGGTGTGCACCACCATGCCTGGCTAATTTTTGTATTTTTAGTATAGAGGGGGTTTCACCATGTTGGCCAGGCTGGTCTCGAACTCCTGACCTCAGGTGATCCACCCGCCTCAGCCTCTGAAAGTCCTGGGATTACAGGCGTGAGCTAGTGCGCCCAGCCTGGCCTTTTAAAATATTTAATTAATTGATTTTTTTTTTTCTCGGACTTGCACTGAAGTGAGAACAAGTGCAGTGGTGCAATCATATCTCAGTGCAGCCTAGACCTTCCAGGCTTAAGTGATCCTCCTATATCAGCCTCCCAAGCAGCTCAGACCACAGGCATGCGCGATCATCCCTAGCTTTTTTTTTTTGTTTGTTTGTTTTTTAATTTCTTGTAGAGACAGAGTCTCCCTGTGTTACCCAGGCTGGTCTTGAACCTGACCTCAAGCAACCTCCCATGTTGGCCCCTCAAAGTGCTGGGATTACAGGTGTGAGCCACCGTGCCTGGCCTGTAAAACATTTTTAAAAGAAAGAAGATATAAATAAATAAATAAATAGAAAATAGCTCTTGTTCATGGATCATAAGACATAACGTTGTCAAATTGGCAGTATTTTGGAAATTGATCTACACGTTTGACATAATCCCTGTCAGAATCCCAGTTTATTTCATTGTAGAAATTGACAAGTCTCCAGGCGTAGTGGCTCATGCCTGTAATCCCAGCACTTTGGGAGGCCGAGGCAGGCGGATCACCTGAGGTCAGGAGTTCAAGACCAGCCTGGCCAACATGGAGAAACCCTGTCTCTACTAAAACTACAAAATTAGCCGGGTGTGGTGGCACATACCTGTAATCCCAGGTACTCGGGAGGCTGAGGCAGGGAATCGCTTGAACCTGGGAGGCGGAGCTTGCGGTGAGCTGAGATCACGCGCCACTGCACTCCAGCTTGGGCAACAAGAGCGAAACTCCATCTCAAAAAAAAAAAAGAAATTGACAAGTCAATTCATAAATTCCTATGGAATCGCAAGGGACCCACAATAGCTAAATCTTGAAAAAGAACAAAGCAGAAAGACTCACGCTTTGTGATTTCAAGACATACTATAAAACAACTAATCAAGACAACGTCACCAGGCACCGTGGCTTATGCCTATAATCCCAACACTTTGGGAGGCCAAGGCAGGCAGATCACTTGAGGACAGGAGTTCGAGACCAGCCTGGGCAACATGGCGAAATCTTGTCTCTACCAAAAATACAAAAATTAACCGGGCGTGGGGGTGCACACTTGTAGTCCAAGCTGCTTGGGAGGGCTGAGGCACAAGAATCCCTTGAACCCAGGAGGTGGAGGTTGCAGTGAGTCGAGATCGTGCTATTGCACTCCAGCCTGGGGGACAGAGCGAGATTCCATTTCAAAAAAATAAAAATAAAAAGACAGTGTGGTACTGGTATAAGGATAAATGTGTAGATCAGTGGCATAGAATTGAGAGTCCAGAAATAAACCCAGTGGAATAGAGTTGAGAGTTCATGGTCACCTGATTCTTGACAAGGGTGCAAAGACCATTCAGTGGGGGAGAACTGTCTTGTCTTGTCTTTTCTTGCTACATGCCACAGACTGTGAGAAGGAATAGTCCTTTCTTTTCTTTTTTCTTTTTTTTTTTGAGATGGAGTCTCGCTCTGTCATCTAGGCTGGAGTGCAGTGGTGCAATCTTGGCTCACTGCAACCTCCGCCTCCTGGGTTCAAGTGATTTTCCTGCCTCAGCCTCCTGAGTACCTGGACTACAGGCGCCTGTCACAACGCCCGGCTAATTTTTGTATTTTTAGTAGAGATAGGGTTCCACTATGTTGGCCAGGCTAGTCTCGAACTCCTGACCTCGTGATCCACCTGCCTCAGCCTCCCAAAGTGCTGGGATTACAGGTGTGAGCCACCGCACCCGGCCGGAATAGTCCTTTCAACAAATGGAGCTGAGACAACTGGATAGCCACATGCAAAAAAAAGAAGAAATTAAACCCTTACCTCACACTACATACAAAAATTAACTCATGGCTGGGCACGGTGGCTCACACCTGTAATCCCAGCACTTTGGGAGGCCAAGGCAGGTGGATCATGAGGTCAGGAGTTCAAGACGAGGCTGGCCAACATGGTGAAACCCCATCTCTACTAAAAATACAAAAAGTAGGCCGGGTGCGGTGGCTCAACACCTGTAATCCCAGCACTTCGGGAGGCCGAGGTGGGTGGCTCACGAGGTCAGGAGATCAAGACCATCCTGGCTAACATGGTGAAACCCTGTCTGTACTAAAAATACAAAAACAAAATTAGCTGGGCGTGGTGGCGGGCGCCTGTAGTCCCAGCTACTTAGGAGGCTGAGGCAGGAGAATGGCGTGAATCCAGGAGGTGGAGCTTGCAGTAAGCCGAGATCGCACTACTGCACTCCGGCCTGGGCGACAGAGGGAGACTCCATCTAAAAAAAAAAAAAAAAATTAGCTGGGCATGGTGGCGGGCACCTGTAATCACAGCTACTTGGGAGGCTGAGGCAGGAGAATCGCTTGAACCCAGGGGTGAGCTGAGATCACGCCATTGCACTCTAGCCTGGGTGACAGGGTGAGTCTCCATCCCCCACCCAAAAAAAAGCTTAAAATGGATCAAAGGGCCAGTTGAGGTGGCTCACCCCAGTAATCTGAGCACTTTAGGATGTTGAGGTGGATGGATCACTTGAGGCCAGGAGTTTGAGACCAGTCTGGCCAACATGGTGAAACCCTGTCTATATTAAAAATACAGAAATTAGGCTGGGTGTGGTGGCTCATGCCTGTAATCCTAGCACTTTGGGAGGCTGAGGCAGGTGGACTGCTTGAGGACAGGAGTTCAAGACTACCTTGGCCAACATAGCAAAACCCCATCTCTACTAAAAATACAAAAATTAGCCAGCCGTGGTGGCATGCTCTTGTAGTGCCATCTACTCTGGAGGCTGAGACATGAGAATCACTTGAACTCGGGAGGTGGAGGTTGCAGTGAGCTCAGATTGTGCTACTGCACTCCAACCTGGGCAACAAAGCAAGACTCTGTCTGGAAAAAACAAAAACAAAAACAAAAAACAAATGTGGAGAAATGTGAACCCTTTTACACTGCTGGTAAGACCGTAAAATGGTGCAGCCAGTTTGAAAAGCAAACTAGTTAGCCAGGCATGGTGGGTCATACATGTAATTCCTGCACTTTGGGAGACCAAGGTGGGAGGATCACTTGAAGCCAGAATTTTGAGACCAGCCTGGGCAACAGAGTGAGACCTTTTCTCTACAAAAAATTTAAAAATTAGCCAGGCGTGGTGGCTTGCACCTGTAGTCTTAGTTACTTGGGAGGTTGAGGTGGGAGGATCACTTGAGCCTGGGAGAGGCTATAGTGAGGCATGACTGCACCACTGCACCTCCAGCCTGGTAATCAAAGCGAGACCCTGTCTCAAAAAAAGGAAGACAATTAGCTGGGTGTGGTAGCGTTCCTCTGTAGTCACAGCTACTTGAGAGGCCAAGGTGGTAGGATTCCTTGAGCCCAGAATTTTGAGGTTGCAGTTAGCTGTGATTGTGGTGCTATACTCCAGGCTGGGCGACAGAGTGAGACCCAGTCTCAAAAAAGATAAAAAGAAAAACATGGTGGCAGTTCCTCAAACAGTTAAACACAGAGTTACCATATAACCCCACAATTCAACTTACAGATGTCTTCTCAAGAGAAATGAAAACATAGCTTTACGAGAAAAACTTATATGTGAATGTTTATAGTAGTATTATTCATAATAGCCAGAAGGTAGAAACAGTTCAAATATACATCAGCTGATGAATGGATAAACAAAATGTGGTCTATCCTTACTATGGAATTACTTGGCAATAAAATAGAATGAAGTACCAGCACGTGCTTCAACATGGATGGACCTTGAAAACACTATGCTATGTGAAAGAAACCAGCCGCAAAAGAACACATATGATTCCATTCATATGCAAATCTAGGATAGGCATATCTACAGAGACAAAGTAGATCAGTGGTTGTTCAGGGCTGGGAAAAATGGGTGGGGTAGAGGGTGTGATAGCTGAAATATACAAGGTTTTATTTATGAAGTGATGAAAATACTCTAAAACTGACTGGTGATGGTTGTACACACTGAATGTACTAAAAACTACTGAATTATACACTTTAAATGGGTGAATTTTAGGGTATATGAATTATATATCAAGATGTTTAAAAAAAACCTTAGGCAAAATGTAAACAATGGGCATGACTGTGTTCCAAGAAAACTTTATGGACACAGAAATTTGAATTTCACATAATTTTCACAAGAAAATAAACATTAAAAAATGTAACATGCTGGGCACTGTGGCTCACGCATGTAATCCCAGCACTTCGGGAGGCCGAGGTGGACGGATGACGAGGTCAGGAGTTTCATACCAGCCTGGCCAATATGTAAAACCCTGCCTCTACTGAAAATAGAAAAATTAGCTGGGCGTGATGGCACACGCCTGTAATCCCAGCTACTCGGGAGGCTGAGGCAGGAGAATCACTTGAACCTGGAAGGCGGAGGTTGTGGTGAGCTGAGATCACGCCGTTGCACTCCAGCCTGGGCAACAAGAGTGAAACTCCGTCTCAAGAAAAAAAAAAAAAAAAAGTAAAAATCATTCTTAGTTCTCAGGCCACACAAAAATAGGTGGTGGGTTGGATTTGTCCTGTGGGCCATAGTTTGCTGATCTCTGATCTAAGTTACTATTTGATAGATGTTAGATGTTGTGAGAGGGTAAGAGAGACTAGCCTATAAGGAAAGGGATTTTAGTTTTTTGGGGGTTTTTTTTTTTGAGACGGAGTCTCGCTCTGTCGCCCAGGTTGGAAAGCAATGGTGTGATCTCAGCTCACTGCAACCTCTGTCACCCAGGCTCAAGCGATTCTTCTGCCTCAGCCTCCCAAGTAGCTGGGATTACAGGCATGTGCCACCATGCCCGGCTAATTTTTGTATTTTTAGTAGAGATGGGCTTTCACCATGTTGGCCAGGCTGATCTTGAACTCCTGACTTCAGGTGATCCGCCCTCCTTGGTCTCCCAAAGTGCTGGGATTACAGGTGTGAACCACTGTGTCCATCCAGGAAAGGGATTTTGTATGACATTTTTCAGCCGCAATTTTGCCAGGAAAAGCTCTTTTTTCTTCATTAAGTAGATTCCAGACCCAAAGATGTTGGACAGTATTATCAGCTAGAGCAAGGTTTTTCAACCCTGGCACTATTGACATTTTGGCTGGATGATTCTTTGTTGTGGGGAGCTGTCTTGTATGTTCTAGGATGTTTAGCAGGATCTCTGGCCTCTACCTACTAGATGCCAGTAGCATTCCCCCACCCCATCCCAGTTGTTGTGACAACCAAAAATGTCTTCAGACATTGTCAAGTGTCCCTGGGGTAGGGAGGACACCCTCCAATCTCCTCTTTCTCCCTACCCAACCTCCATGACCACATTGAGAACCACTGATCTATAGAAAAGGATAATAGTAGTGACATTCAGAGAGGCAGGATGGTATAGTGCAAAGCTTGCCAAACTTTAATTTTACATAAATGACCTGGGGAATCTTGGAAAAATGTAGGTTCTGATTCAGTAGTTCTGGGATGGAAGTGAGAATTTTGTATTAATAACAAACTCTCAGGTGATGATACCTGTGCCACCGGCCCAAGGACCACACTTTGAATAGCAGAGCAGTAGTAGAAAGTGCATCGGCTTTGAAAGAAGACAGACCTGGGCTTGAATTCTAGCTAAAATACTTCTACTTTGGACAAGTTACATAGCTCTCTGGACCTTATTTTCTCATTGGTAAAATGAGACTAATAATGCTGACCCTGCAGAGTTCTTATAAGGATTCATGGAATGCATAGTCCCTGGCAGAAAGGAAGATATAGGAGGGACTATAATTGGCCTAAAGTAGGAGGCTCTGGTTACCATGGGCACTGCCCTGTTGTGATTTATCAAGCCATTACACCTCACTGAACCTCAGATTTCCAGTGGAAAAACCTGTTTGTAAACCATGTTCACATATTCTGTTGAAAGTAATCATAGTTTGATTTATGATGATAGGGCTCAGGTAAGTGATTAGTTTTATTCTCCTGCCTGCTTTTTATGTTGTCCATTAATGAGCAAGGTGCTGATGCAAGGAGATGGCAGATGCATTTTGAAAAAAAAGGAGAGAGAGAGTACTTGTAGAATTCTTGACTTTATTGAGGTCAAATGTAGGTGGCTTTTCAAGAAGGACTCAATTTCAGAACCGGTGGCATTTAACATATGAGTCATGTTACCTTATGCTAATAAGTTCAGACTTTTTTTCTTTTTACTGCAGAGATAGGGGGAAAAATCTCCTGCACTACTTGCTGCATTGCTCAATTGGCTGGATGCTTTGGAAGATTTTTCCACTTGAAAGATTTGTTGTTTGTCATTTTGAGAAAGTGGGTGCTGAGTGTAATTTGCCAGGAGGCTAAACGGCTATGTTATTTCTTATCTAGGCTGGAATTTTACTCTAATAATTCAATCT